>NC_000009.12:107614491-107766006 GCF_000001405.40 Homo sapiens | reverse complement strand
AGTGAGCACATGTAATTTTCTTTTTTTCTGGTCATAAGAGTCTATTTGGCCCAAGCACAGGGCAAGGCAGAGGGCATAGAATCAATGCCCCTGTGAACAGCCCTCTGACATAGTACAGCTTCCTTGCTTCTCTGTTGGTTCAGCCTTTAGTCATGATCCATACCATCACCCAGGGCTCTCCATGGGACTGAGCTCCAGTAGCTTATAATAGCAACTGGCTTGATGATATTTCCCTCCCCTCTGTGTCTCAGATCTAGCAAAATTTGTTGGGGCCTCCTTCCAAATAAACTACCCGCACTCAGATAACAGCTTTCCATCAAAAGGACAATGTTCTGGGAACATGGACGGGAAGTGGTAGTGGTGGAAGCTCTGTTTTTTTTTTCCCATTTATCCTTCATTTCTCCATTATTTATCCTTTATTTCCATTATTTTTTTCATTTATCCTTTTATTTCTCTCAATTTTCATTTTATATATTTTAAAGATTGATATGAGTGAATACAAATTTGTAAATGTTATGTCTTACAACTGAATTGATCTCTTTATCATTAAAAAAATTCTTCTTTATTTTTGGTAATATTTTTGGTAACATTCCCTCTGAGAACTAAACAAGACAAGAATGCCCACTCTCACCACTCCTCTTCAACATAGTACTGGAAGTCCTAGCCAGAGCAATCAGACAAAAGAAAGAGATAAAGGGCATCCAAATCGATAAAGGGGAAGTCAAATTGTCACTGTTTACTGACAATATGATCGTTTACCTTGAAAACCTTAAGGACTCCTCCAGAAAGCTCCTAGAACTGATAAAAAAAAAATTCAGCAAAGTTTCCAGATACAAGATTAATATACACACATCAGTAGCTCTTCTACACACCAACAGGGACCAAGCAGAAAATCAAATCAAGAACTCAATCTCTTTTACAATAGCTGCAAAAAATAATAAAATAAAATACTTAGGAATATATCTAACCAAGGAGTTGAAAGACCTCTACAAGGAAAACTACAAAACACTGCTGAAAGAAATCATAGATGACACGACCAAATGGAAACACATCCCATGCTCATGGATGGGCATAATCGATATTGTGAAAATGACCATACTGCCAAAAGCAATCAACAAATTCAATACAATTCCCATCAAAATACCACCATTATCTTCATAAAATTAGAAAAAAAAATTCTAAATTTCATATGGAAGCAAAAAAGAGCCTGCATAGCCAAAGCAAGACTAAGCAAAAAGAACAAATCTGGAGGCATCACACTATCTGATTTCAAACTATACTATGAGACCATAGTCACCAAAATGGTGTGGTACTGGTGTAAAAATAGACACATTGGCCAATGGAAAAGAATAGAGAACCCAGAAATAATCCCAAATGCTTACAGCTAACTGATCTTTGACAAAGCAAACAAAAACATGAATTGGGGAAAGCACACCCTTTTCAACAAATGGTGCTGGGATAACTGGCTAGCCACATGTGGGAGAATAAAACTGGATCCTTATGTCTCACCTTATACAAAAATAAATTCAAGAAGGAATAAGGACTTAAACCTAAGAGCTGAAATTGTAAAAATTCTAGAAGATAACATTGGAAAAACCCTTCTAGACATTAGCTTAGGCAAGGATTTCATAACTAAGAACCCAAAAGCAAAAGCAACAAAAACAAAGATAAATAGCTGGTACCTAATTAAACTAAAGAGCTTTTGCACAGCAAAAGGAACAGTCAGCAGAGTAAACAGATAACCCACAGAGTGGGAGAAAATCTTCACAATCTATACGTCTGACAAAGGACTAATATCCAGAATCTACAAAGAACCCAAACAAATCAGTAAGAAAAAAACAAAAAATCCCATCAAAAAGTGGACTAAGGACATGAATAGACAATTATCAAAAGAAGATACACAAATGGCCAACAAATATATGAAAAAAATGCTCAACATCACTAATGATCAGGGAAATGCAAATGAAAACCACAATGTGATACCACCTTACTCCTGCAAGAATGGCCAAACAAAAAAATCAGAAAACAATAGATGTTGGCATGGATGTGGTGAACAGGGAACACTTCTACACTGCTAGTGGAAATGCAAACTAGTATAGCCACTATGGAAAACAGTGTGGAGATTCCTTAAAGAACTAAAAGTAGAACTACCATTTGATCCAGCAATCCCACTATTGGATATCTATGCAAAGGAAAAGAAGTCATTATTCGAAAAAGATACTTGCACAAGCATGTTTATAGCAGCACAATTCACAATTGCAAAATCATGGAACCAACCCAAATGCCCATCAATCAACGAGTGGATAAAGAAACTCTGATAATGTTAATTCATTCCTTTTTATGGCTGTATACTATTCCATCATATATATATATATATGGCTGTATAGTATTCCATCATATATATATGGAAAAAGGAATGAATTAACAGCATTTGCAGTGACCTGGATGAGATTGAAGACTATTATTCTAAATCAGCAACTCAGGAATGGAAAACTAAACATTGTATGTTCTCACTGATATGTGGGATCTAAGCTATGAGAACCCAAAGGCATAAGAATGATACAATGAACTTTGAGGACTTGGGAGCAGGAGTTGGAGGGAGGTGAGGGATAAAAGGCTGCAAATATGGTTCAGTGTATACTGCTCACATTATGGGTGCACCAAAATCTCACAAATCACCACTAAAGAACTTACTCATGTACCCCAATACCACCTGTACCCCAATAACTTATGGAAAAAATAAACGATAATAAATTAAACTAAATTAATAAGAATAAATAAATAAAACTTTTAGGTTCGGAGTACATGTGCAGATTTGTTTTATAGGTAAACTATATCATGTTTAGCCTACAGATTATTTCACCACCCAGGTGATAAGCATAGTACCTCATAGGTAGTTTTTGATTTTTTTAAACCCTCTTGATATATCTAAGTAGATTACACCAACACTACAGATGAAAAAACTGAGTCACACAAAGATAAATATAGGCAAAAGTTGCATGGTAGTATCTGGCCTATCTGACTACTAAGCTTTTGCTCTTCTCCTTAACTGCCTTGCCTCTAAGACTCTAAGAAGTTTACTCAGGCCAGGTGCAGTGGCTCAGGCCTGTAATCCCAGCATTTTGGGAGGCTGAGGCGGGCAGATCACTTGAGGTTGGGGGTTTAAGACCAGCCTGGCCAAAATGATGAAACCTCATCTCTACTAAAAATACAAAAATTAGCTGGGTGTGGTGGTGCACACCTGTAGTCCCAGCTATTCAGGAGACTGAGGCACAAGAATCACTTGAACCTGGGAGTTGGAGGTTGCAATGAGCTGAGGTCACACCACTGCACTCCAGTCTGGACAACAGAGTGAGACTGTCTCAAAAAAAAAAAGAAAAAAAAGAAGAAGTTTACTCTCCAATTGCCAACATGCAATGGAGGGCTGTTAGGGGCTGGAACACCTGGTGGGATAGCACTTGCTCTCAAATTCCACTTTGTGGGTAGCTGCAGATGATACCAGCTTGTAAAGCAGGCATATCTGCAGTTTTGTAATCCTTAACGTTAACTATAATAGTCTCCCAGAAGCAGATTCCTGCACTGCTCATTTAGGAGAATCTGTATTAGTTATCTATTGCTGTATAACAAATTATCATAAAACTGGCAGGTTAAAACAATACACATTTATTTTATAGTTTCCATGGGTTAGGAGTCTGGGCATAACTTAGCTCTGCTCAGGGTCTATTATTCTAAATGAAGTAACTCAGGAATGGAAAACCAAACATTGTATGTTCAGGGTCTCACAAGTTGTCAGGCAGGCTGTGTTCTCATCTGGAGGCTCAATTGGATAAGAGTTTGTTTCCAAGATCATTTGAGTTGTTGGGAGAATGCATTTCTTTGCAGATACATGACAGAAGATGCTGTTTTTATTGGCTGTTTTCTGGAGGCCAACCACAGGTCCTAGAGACGACCCGCAGTTCCCTGCCACATGGACCTCTCCATAAGCAGGTCACCACATGGCAATTTGTTTCTTCAAAGCCAGCAGGAGAATCTCCTGCTTCAGTCCACTAAGATGGAGTCATATATAGTGCAATATGATCATGAGAGTAATAGCCCATCATTTTTGACCTACGATGGATGGATTTATTTGTATTTTTATCACCACTATCATTTACAATAATTAATATTATCATTCATCATAATCATGCTAAATTTGGTATCCTGAAATATAGTATTAAGATTCCATTTACCTTTTACATAAAAACCTTCCTTAGTTCTCAGTGCCTATGGAATAAAATCCAAGTTCTATAGCCTGCAATTCATGCCCCCCATCCCTGTTATATTCCTGGCCTCATCTTTGCCCAATCCTGGCTCTTTCCCAATGATGCCAAACACTTTCGTCTCCTTTCCTCCTTTCAGCACAGGTAGCCTCTCTGCCTGGCCTGAACTTTGCTTTCCTCTTGGTCAAGTTGGTGTACATATCTTTGCAAACTTATTGGGAAAATGACCTTTACTCTCCCGGAGCCTGCTCAGCCTCTCCCCTCTCTGGGCTCCATAGCTCTGGGAATGTGCATCTTTATACTGCCAGTCACACCATATTATATAATTGCATCAAGCAGTGAGTTTCAGTTCATCTCTAAATTCCAAGACTTGGTACAGATTAGGTCTCAACAAATCATGCTGAATAAATACACAATTAATTTAATTAACAGCAACTTTTCTTTTATGTCCTCTTCAGGTTTGCAAAGTATATTAAGCTGATGTGGGCAAGTTTGGAGTGAGGACGTTCAGCAAAAGACAGAGGGAACCAGCTGGATGACCCTAGCAGGCCTGGAACAGTTTGGAACCGGACGTCCTCTTCTTGTAGACTGACAGGCTCCGGAAAGAAGCCACAGCTTCTCCGTGGAGCCCTGGGCTCAGCACTTCCCGTATTCACTACTGCTATTCTCAGTAGTCCTCTTCCCCAAAGTCTGCTTCCATATTTTCAGGTCTTTGAATGTTGCAGCCAAACCACTGCTCTAGTTCTGAAAGCAGAACCAAAACACACCCCAGGCACCGTTCCCTCACCGACTTCCTATTCCTAGGGCTCCAATCCCAGCCTCCTACCCCTTCATCCTCTCCCTGCTCCCTTACCCTAGAAGCCACACCCACGTTTTGCGCCCTGGCCTTGCACACTGCCAGCCTCCTGCATGCTCTGAGTTTTCCTCTGGGATTCCTCTTCCAGCCAGGCTTCCTGAGACCCCTGTGGGTCTCAGGAACCCTGCTCCTCCCCGCTCTCCTCCTTGCTGAACCACTTCCCCATTTGAATCGTTAATCTCCTCCTCCCTTTATTCTGGGGGAAGCCTGTTCCAAAAGCCAGTGGTGACTTTCTTGGGTTAAAGGCCAGGATTAAAAATAAGTAGGAGTTACCATTTCTGGCCCCATAGTTCCTCAGGCAGGAAGGAGCCACCAAGGCAGCATGGCCTGACCCAGCACAGAGACTGCCGAAAATGACCAGGCCAGCCAGTCCCCCAGGAAAACAGGTCAGGAAAAGCCAAGGCCCACCAAAGGGGTCCAAGAATGAGTTTCGTTTTGTATGAAATGTAGGGAATATTCAATATGCCCATTTTAGAGGCGATTTCTCTCCATTGTGATTCTAGTTAAAATCCACAACCAGAATTCACAGAAGCAGTACTGGGTGAGGGAAAGATATGAAAAAGCTTGGATTTGAATCCCAGCCGTGTAACCCAGGACAAGGTGTGCAAAACCCTGAGAAGCCAAATTTCTCCTATAAAACGAGAAGGAGAAAGCCCTCTACTTGGGATGATTGAGAATCAAATGAGACAATATTTAGTAACTAGCACAGCACAGAATCCGTGGAAGTCTCGCCAAACAAAGCTAATTACCTTCTCCTCTAAAAGTGTTGTTGTTGCCTTCAGTGGAGGCCCCTGGGAGGTTGTCAGGCTGTAGCACTGCCCTACCTGGAATGCATTTAGTACCTGTACCTGCAGGGCACTGTCGTCACTGCCTCATGGGCCTCGCGGCAGGCCTGCCACCACTCCAGCTACCAGTCCAGCCAGGGTGGTGATAAATGGCCCTGAGCCAGCATCCTCAGCAACTTCAGGAGCTGCTGGGAAGAGGTGGCTTTGATGTCAAGCCAAGGGAAGACGTGTTACAATTATCTAAATTATTCAAGGCCCCCACAAATTTCAGAGAGCTGTAGGTTGCTTGCAGATGATTGTAAATTCCCTGCCTACCACTTCTTTATCACACCAACTAGGCTTTCAGTTCCCTGTCAAGTCCCTCTGTCTTACACCTCAGTGCCTTTGTATGTACCAGAGTCTCTGCTTAGAATTCTTTTTGCTCCCCTGTCACTGCCCAGAACATCCCCCCTCACACTTCAGGTCTCAGCCCCATGGTCCCTGTTTCAGGAAGCCGTCCCTGATGGTTCTTCCCCAGTGTTCTTTACATGTGGCATTTTTGAGTCTGCTATAATCACTCATTTATGTGCCTGGGTCCCCAACAAAATTGAAACTTCTTCGTGGGTAGATACTGACCTTTGCTCACATTCATGCCCGGTGTTCACACAATGCCTGCCACAGAGAGGTTCCCGATACATGTTCATTGAAACTCACTTCTACAACTGTGTGGTAGTAGAAATAACCAAAGCTCGAAAAACTAAAATACCCCCTTTTGAATTCAGGCTGTATCACCAAATAGCTGTGACATTGGTTTGAATTCCTTAGACTCTCTGCCCATCAGTTTTCAGTTGGTAAAATGGAACTATGAAACCAGTCTCAGAGAATGGTTTTGAGAAAACACACACATGCCCCAGTGGGGCCACCTCTGCACAGCTAGGGAGAAATGGAGAGTGGAGCCATTTCACTGACACTCCAGGTCAAACAAGATTACTCATCACCACCTTGGGTGTTGACCTTGATGTCTTACTCTCAGCCTTCTTCCATAATCCAGGCCTGGGACTCAGGAGGGAGTCCAGGAAACAGGAGGCTTCCTGGCCTTTAGTTCAAGGGCAGAAAACAGGAGGACTCTTGGCCAAGGGCAGAGCCCTTCACACAGATCTCAGCCAGATCTTACCTCCCTGGATAGCATCCACAATGACGCTGAAAGGGGAACTTCCAATGGATGCTCTCTTAGGCAAGAATGGACACAGTACCTGGCTCCAAGATGCAGATTCTGGCTGCCATGTTGAAAAACAGGACAGCTGGAAATCTCAAAACAGGACTTGTTTTCCCAAAGCATAAACCTGCATTTCAAGCCAGGACTCTTTTCCTGTCCTTAAGAAGAATGGCGCCATGAGTTGGATATTAGTTACCATAGGTTGGGTTATACTCCAGTAACAGAGAACCACCAATAATCTCAGTGGCTTAAAATCACAAAGGTGTCTTGCTCACAGATTGGTTTTATGGACCTGCAGAGTCCCCAGGACCACCAACCTCCATAGGGGATAGCTCAGAGAGGCAACTTCACATCAGCATGAGTTTCCCCAACAGCCTGGCCAAGGAAGAGCAGGCACCAGAGCCATTAGCCATCACATGCTCCACCTGGACGTCAATGTGGTATCAACTTTGTGTCTGTTTATCCTCTAGAGTATAAGTGCCTTCAGAAATATAGCCATCCTTCTTATTTTCAGTGCTGTGTACCTCTTTATATGTTTATAATTCATTTACACCTCAACTAGAACTCTGAGTTGTACCCACAATAATCCGTGCCAGGTTCTGGGCTGGGTGATGGGGACACAACTATTAACAGAAACAAGCCTCAGCCTCTACCGTCCGTGAGCTCACAGTCTAGAGGGGGAAGCTAATGTTAAACAAACAAACAAACAAACAAACACAAAAAAACTAATTCAATCCTATATAATCAGGGCCATCACTGAAATCCATGAAATCTGCTATAGGAGTGAGTTAACGGAAAAATAATCTTCCCAGGAAATCTTGGAAGGATTTAATGAGGAAGTGATACTTGAGCTAGCTTTTAAAATATATTTTCCCAGGTAGAAGGGATGAGAAGGGCAAAGTCAAGGGCAATAGCATGGACATGGACATTAGGGGAAGTCTGGCATATTCAGGGAAGGGAGAGCTTCATTCTGTGTGTTCCTGGGAAGTTGCGGATGAGATGGGGATGGTGAGGGTACAGAGGGCAAGAGGAGCAGGGCTACATTACGGGGCACCATGTATGTCTGACTAGGGAGTTTGGGTTTTATTTAGTGGGAAATGGGAGCCTTTGTAGGTTCTGCAGGAGGGACGTGATGCTATGGAATATTAGAATCTCACCCTGGCTGCAGGAGAAGAATGTATTAACAGGGGAGCACCTGGAGCCATGGGACTAGTGATAATGCTTTTGAAGTAGACAGCCTCCCAAGTCTCTCTAAAAAGGGCCCTTGGTCTTGGTTCTGTAGCAAGAGGGTCCTCCTGATTTCTACAGATGTGTCTTACTTACGTGGGTACATGTGGATACATATGCACATTACAGGATGTTTAAAGTCCTTCAATATTGATTTGTGTATAAAATCTCTCCAAGGAAGGCAAACAATGGGCAAAACTGGGCTTACCCAGAGTTCAGTATCAAAATTGCAGATGACGGTTGTCAATTTTTCTACAGAGAGCTAGAAGCATTGGAGTCCATGACATAAGACATAGCATCTGTGAAAACAGGGACTGGCCTATGGGTGGATCTCTTAAAAATGTTGATGCTTTCTATTTCTATGAGGAAATCTGCTGTGAGACACTTATTTCATTCTGTGAATGTCAAAATTAGGTGACCTGTTAAGCTCCTTTCTGCTCTGGCAGAGACTTAAGTTTTAAATTAAACTTAAGTGTCGAAGGGCTAAGTGACCCATCCAAGGTTGTACAGAGAGTTATTAGAATCCTGAGATAGCAAGGTCTAGTGGAAAAACATTCAAAGTGGGTTAGTTTGTCTTTGTTTTGCCATCACACAGAAATCCACATATGGGGGCCCTAATGATAAATCAGTTAACTATTCAGATATAAGATTATTTTTCAACTCAATAATATAAAAGTTGTTTTTGGCCAGGCACATTGGCTTACACCTCTAATCCCAGCACTTTGGGAGGCCGAGGCAGGTGTATCACTTGAGGCCTGGAGTTCCAGACCAGCCTGGCCAACATGGTGAAACTCCATCTCTACTATAAATACAAAAATTAGCTGGGTGTGGCAGCACACACCTGTAATCCCAGCTACTTGGGAGTCTGAGGCAGGAGAATCACTTGAACCCGGGAGGCAGAGGTGCAGTGAGCTGAGATTGTGCCACTGCACTCCAGCCTGGGCTACAGAGTCAGACTTTGTCTCAAAAAAAAAAAATTGTTTTTAAGAATTACTTAATTGACTTTATTTATGAAAAGACAAAACAGATTTCCCTGAGTGTAAGTCTTGTGCTGGTCCGTGCTCAGTCTAAGTTGGTGAGAATATTGATGTGTTCAGACAGAATGGGTTTGGAAAGAACAGGTATTCATGGAGGACTCCTCCAGGTTAATTCCTAATTACATCAAAGAGTGTTGTTTTCACCTGTAGCCAGTCAATCATGAAAGAAGGATTTCTATAGAACCAGATAGGGCTAAACATGATCTAGAATTTGGCCATAGGATTCAACAGAAATCTCAACTTACCATCCAGAACTTTTCATGAGTAGCCATAGTGTGTTTTTCAGCTTCATTTTTCTACAATTGAGTCAGGCTAAGCAGGGAAGGTGCTTGATAATCATACCTACCCTCAGGCGCCCATTCCAAGCACATCATAGCAACAGGATGGCCTGTCCTTTGATCAAAATCTGAAAATTTTTTCTGGATTGTTTCATTTCATTTATATCATATATATCAGTCAAGGTTCTCCAGAGAAAGAAGACCAATAGTATCTAACTATCCATCTATTTATCTATTAATCTATCTATCCACTCCTCCATCTATGTGTGTATGTATATACACACATGTATATATACATATATGTATATATGCATGTATGTGTGTATTTGTATGTGTATACACACGTACATATCTCATTTGCCTCATTGAATTGTGAGGCTAGCAGGTCTGAAATCCATAGGCTAGGCTGGCAGACTGGAAACTCAGCCAAGAATTGATGCTGCAGTCTTGAGTCAGAATTTTGTCTTCTCCAGGAAAATTCAAGTTTTGCTCTTAACGCCTTCAACTGATTAAATGAGGCCCAGTTCTTTCCTTTACTTAAGGACAAGTGATTTCCTTTACCTCTTCAAAATACCTTCACAGCAACGTCTAGATTAGTGTTTGCTTAAATAACTGAGCTGACACAAAAAACTAACCATCATGCCAAGTTTCTGCCATTTTTCAAAATCTGTGATTCGACTGGATTTAAGAAAATTTAGTCACACGAGGACAGTACTTTTTTCAGCTGCCATAAGCTCAATACATCTACCCAAATCAGTCACGCTCTTGTTTTTTTCCTTGTAATATTGAGTTTAGTGTGCCCGGATGTCTTGTCACATCAATTAGGAAGCAAAAATGTATGAGTCATGGAGCATGCGGCAGAGTGAATTTTCAAGTCCCCTGAACAGGTTTTTATGACCCAGCCATCTGATTGCCCTAAAATAAACCCAACTGCCATGTTCCGCCTCACCTTTTCCCAAATGCCCCATGGCCTGGAGATGACTCAGGGCCCAAGAATGAAGAAAATAATCAGAATCTCAATCACTTCCTCTATCACATCTTCAGTGAGCCTGACTTACAAAACAGAAACTCTCCAGAAGAATAAGGCAGTGAAAGCTGAACCCAGCTACCTTCTTCTTGGATATGAACAAATAATTATAATATTCTTTCCCTTTCATGGAAGGAGCCCATCTGTGTCAAGGGAACTCAATTTTTCTGCATTTAGCTTGCATGTCTCAGATGCCATGTTGGCAGGTGGACAGCCCTGTTATTTGTTGTGTGCTAGCTAATTGTACAAGATCCTCAAACGCAAAATGAAAAAGACAGTTTGGGCACAGTGGCTCACGCCTGCAATCCCAGCACTTTGGGAGGCCGAGGCAGACAGATCACCTGAGGTCAGGAGTTTGAGACCAGCCTGACCAACATGGAGAAACCCCGTCTCTACTAAAAATACAAAATTAGCCGGGTGTGGTGGCGCATGCCTGTAATCCCAGCTACTGGGGAGGCTGAGGCAGGGGAACTGCTAGAACCTGGGAGGGAAAGGTTGCAGTGAGCTGAGATCATGCCATTGCACTCCAGCCTGGGCAACAAGAGTGAAACTCCGTCTCAAAAAAAAGAAAAAGAAAAGAAAACAAAAGAAAAAGACAGAAAACAGCTAGTTCTAAGGAGAATATGGAGCAACCATCAAACACGGTTGAGAAGCATATAAACCAAGTACAACAATTTTGAAAACCTGTGTATATATACACACACACACCGTAGGAGAGGAATTGCTAGGGAATAAAGTACTTATAACTTTGTAAGTAATGTGTGTGTGTGTGTGTGTGTGTACACATACCCTAGAAGACCTATATATATGTGTGTGTGTATATGTATATGAGACCTATAAGACTGGGGAGGTGTGTGTGTGTATATATATATATAGGTGTACATAGGTATGTATATAGTTGGACACACACCTATATGCATACCTATATACATAGTATTAGTCTGTTCTCCTGCTGCTAATAAAGACATACCTGAGACGGGGTAATTTATAAAGGAAAGAGGTTTAATTGACTCACAGTTCAGCATGGCTGGGGAAGCCTCAGGAAACTTACAATCATGATGGAAGGGGAAGCAAACATGTCCTTCTTCACATGGTGGCAGCAAGGAGAAGTGCCAAGCAAAAGGCGGAAAAGGCCCTTATAAAATCATCAGATCTCATGAGAACTAACTCACTATCACAAGAACAGCAGCATGGGGGTAACTACTCTCATAATTCAATTACCTCCCACTAGGTCCCTCCCATGACACATGGGGATGATGGGAAATATAATTCAAGATGAGATTTGGGTGGGAACACAGCCAAACTATATCATACACCTATATACACACACATACACACCACCCCCAGGAGAGGAATTGCTGGGGAATAAAGTGTTTAAAACCTTGTAAGTAATGTGTATGTGTGTGTGTGTATGTGTGTGTGTGTGTATATATATATATGTATATATATATATATATACACAGACAGAGAGAGAGAGAAAAAAGTCATGGCAAAAACCACAATTACTTTTACACCAACCTAATATATATGAGACCTATAACACTGTGGGGTGTGTGTGTGTATATATAGATATAGATATAGATATAGATATAGATATAGATACAGATATAGATGGATATAGGTATGTATATAGGTGGACACACAGCTATATACATATCTACACACACACACACCCCCATCTCTCTCTCTCCATGTATATATATGGAGACACATGTATATATCAAACAGAAATGCACACACACTGAAATGTTCATAGCGATGTTATTCATAATAGCCAAAAGCTGGAAACAACTCAAATGTCTATCAATAATAGAATGGATAAATTAATATAGTCACACATTGGACTACAATGATGAGAATGAGAATCTGCAGCTACATGCAACATTAGGGAAGAATTTTATAAAATAATATTGAGCCAAAGAAGCCAGGCTCACAAAAAAAGAAGATATTGTATGATTCCATTGATAGAAGCCATAAAAACAGGCAGAACCAATCTATGGTAGAGGAAGTTGACACATGGTTACCATTGAAGGGAGCATAATAACTGGAAAGGGTCAACTGGGGGCTTCTGCGCTGGTGGATTATATTTACTTTTCTTATCACTGCCTAATAAATTACCCCCAAAACTTAGGGGCTTAAAACAACAATCATTTCATTATATCTCATGATTTTGTGGGTCAGAAGTTTGGTCAGGGCTCAGGTGGGTGATTCTTTTGCTCCATGTGGTTTTGACAGGGGTCACTCAGTGGTCTTTAGCTGGCAAATGGGCTGCTTTGCAGGGTCCAAGAAAACTCTCCTAACAAATTTCCTGCTTTGTCAGGGATCACCAGAAGTCTGGGTTCCACTGGAACTGTCAACAGGAGTGCCTATATGTGGCCTCTCCAACATGGCAGTCTCAGAGTAGCTGGACCTCTTATGTAGTATTTCAGAGCTCCTGGAGAGGGTTTCCAAGAGACCCAGGGAGAAGCTGCAAGGTTTTTTATGATCTAGCCCTAGCAACATTTCCGCTTCATTCTATGGTCAAAGAAGTCATTAAAGCCAGTCCAAATTCAAGGGGAAAAGAGGAAGAATTCCACTTCTCCAGGAAAAGGACATTAATATACTTGGAGGAAATGAACTGATGGCAGTCATCTTGGAGACAGGTGACCAGAGGGAATGTTCTGCTTTTTGATTTGGGTGTTAATTATAGGCTCTATTCAGGTTGTGAACATTTATCAACCTGTATACTTCTAGGTGCCCTTTTCTATGTGTATATAATTTTAATAAAATATTGCAATCTAAACAGACTTACCAAGCAGAATAACCTTTGGAACAGACAGGTCCCATTTGGACAGGTCCCATCTCTGTGGCTGGATGGATACTCCTGCTTCACTGGAGTCACATGGCCCCTCAGCATTTCTGTGACCTTGGGTTACATAGGTGTGAAGGTCAGGCCTCTTGCTCTGTTAGGGTCTCCGTTTCAATGACAAAAGAAAACATTTATTTGGATTACTGTGAGGAAGAATGAGACAAATGAAGAGAAAACTTCTGGCATATCCTAGATGCTCAGTAAATGAGCTTCATTTCATTTCAAGCCCTGAGTGCTGCCTCAGACCCTTGACTCCTAGGCTGCCAAGGAAATTAGCAGCTAGGACTTTCTAGAAGTCTTGCCAGGAGTCCAGAGAGAGCTTGTCTTCCAGCCCCCCTTGCTCACCTTGTGAGCAGAGACAGGGGTACATTCTCAGGCACCTGTGCCCTGCAGGGAGGGCCTGGGTCAGAAGCCGATGAAAATAACTTTGCAGCTGCCAGGACTAGTCCAAAGTCCCCAAGCGCAGTGACAAGTGAATCACCTCAACGAACGCTTAGTCACTGCAAGGTACTTTCCACACAGACACATGGAGATGGTTACCAAAGAAATGTCTGCTGGCTGCTCTCACATCAGCTCAAAGAAAATGTTGTTGTAACCTTTACTTTGGAGGGGGAAAAAATAGCATCACTTTCCCTTTTCCTTTCCTTTTCTTTTTTGGAGAGAGATTCATTGGCAACATTGTTGAAGTGGTTGTTTTTATTTACCCTGGAGAAAGTTTCCAGATAGCTCTGAATCCAGAGCTTTGTATATGTAGCAGTCCCTTCAAGTCTTAAGCTCTTAGTGTCTAAGTGTGTAAACAACCCCCTTAGAGGAGACTGTCACGGACCATCCAGATCACAGGGCCTCCCATGAAGCTCCCTGATGGCAAGCAGAGTCCTCCAAGCTTTTAAAAGTCAGAGATGGGAGGTCCAAATCCCTCTGCCCTGTATTATCAGTATAGCCTCAGGGCAAAGGGTTCCAACTTCCTGAGCCCCCTACTTCTTTATTAATAACAATGAAGCTTCATTATGTGTACCCACAAGGTGGTTGTGAGAATTAGATGAGGTGGTGTGCAGAAGCATCCCCAACAATGCTTGGCATTCTCATAGTAGTTGATTAGTTAAAGTAAGTTAATCTCTCCTTCTCTCTCCTGATTCTTCCTTTGTTATTTCTCTTGCTGCCTTTCTCTTTTTAAACTCCCTCTCTTCCTTCTCTTTTCTTCCTTGCCAAACTTAATCAACCCTCATTCTCTCCTATTCTCTCCTTTCCTCTCTGCTGTCTGCGTGTTTTTTTTTCCTTCCTTTTTTGCCTTGTTTTCAAGCCTCACCCCCCCCCCCCCCGCCTCCACACACACACACACACACACACTCACAGCCATCTCTCTGGCTGGTACAGCTTTGGCATAAAGCTATTGAAAGCCAGCCAAATTCTGGTTAAAAACACTGCAATTCTTGGCCAGACTTTCTCTCCTTACAAATGAGGGTGATGTTTCAGGCATGGGAAGTCTTCCCATCCATTTAGGCCCCAGGGAAAAAAATAGCAACGCCTCAGTGTGTGGCCTTAGGTGGACAGCGAAGTGGGGCTCTGGGTATTGACAGAAATAAATCTGGTGTTTCTGAAAATTGTGAAACATGCGCAGTGAATGTGTCATCCCAGCAAAAGTGAGTCAGCTCCTAGGCCGGGGCCCAAATCTGGCCGCATTTGCTTTCTAAATAGAAAGTGTATTCCTGGCCAGCCCAACTTAGCAAATCAGCGGTCAATGAGAGTGGAAAGACAGGCAGAAAAAGAGACATGCAAATGTATACTTTGCAAGAAGGTTACTGGAAAAATCAAATTCTCTCTCTGTGATTTTAAAAAAAATCATTCATTTTCTTCTTTTCTTTCTATCCTGATATCTGCATCAAACTTTCCTTTTCATCATTATTTTACCCCTTCTGGAGTGGCCTTCAAAACTAGGAACACAGCAAAGTTGCAACAAAGCAGCCTGGAGTAATTGGGTGCTGTAAACTTTGGGGTGAGACTGACCTGAGTTCAAATTCTGACCCCACCTTCAACAAGTTCTGTGTGTGTTGTGTTGTGTTGTGTTGTGTGTGCATGTGTATGTGTGTGTGTGTGTGTGTGTGTGTCCTTGGGAAAATTTCTAACCTCTCTGAAGATTTAGTATCACTTTAACCAAATGGGAGAAATCCAGTGGAGGGTAAAGTAGGTAACATCAGCAGTGCCTAGTTTATGGCAGGTGTTTGTCATCTCTGAGTCACCTTTCTCTTTTTTAGGAAGGGAAGTATGAGGAACTCTGATGCCTCTTCACTCCCTAGTTCTCTGTCCACATGGGGTTATCTCTTTTAGAGGGTGTGAGCACCCAGAATATGGGAGCAGCAGCTTTGCCTCTTCCACTCCAGACATAGAATTTGGAGAAAAGAAGCAACACCAGGCTCAGGGCCTTCTGCGCCAGCATCATGGACAGGCAGGGCTCCCCTGCATCCCTGGCAAGCCCAGATGCTAGAATCATGTGGCCTCCACTCTGCCAGAGGAAGTGATGCAACTGCCCATTGGCTTTGGGTCAGCGTAGAAGAAAGTGTCCTGTTACAGCGTGGGCGTGGCTGGCTTCAGGGCTCCAGTCTGGTGCCCTGTTCCAAACCCACAGCAGAGGGGCAAGCAGGAGATCCTGCCTTTGTGCATAGACTGCCTGCTGTTTACCCAGCTTTGTGTACCACTATCCGGGCCCTAAAAAGGGCCCAGCCAAGCAAGTCATCTCTGGCCCTTGGCCTCTCCCTTCTCTCTGCTCCAGCTCACAAATTGCCCTCACTACAAACACCTGTTTCCTTTCTCCCAGACCCTGTGGGGTCGAGCTAGTCTATTGACCTCATATGCATGGCAGGGATATAATTGAACTCAATTATAGTAACTACATCCATTAAAAACCTATGTAATGTTCATTAAGCCGCCTAGGTAATATGCAATTAATGGCATTACCATATGAATTGTGCATTGGGTCAATAATATGCAGATTATATGTAATGTTCAGTGTATGTATTAATTACAGC
Organism: Homo sapiens; assembly: GCF_000001405.40. Classification (NCBI taxonomy): domain Eukaryota; kingdom Metazoa; phylum Chordata; class Mammalia; order Primates; family Hominidae; genus Homo; species Homo sapiens. The sequence goes on along the minus strand of NC_000009.12, from coordinate 107,749,471 downwards.
ACATGCTGGAAAAGCACAGCACTCCAAGCTTGCAGGTCTGTCCCAGTTAGAAACCCTTTTGATCTCATACAAATCCTATTATAGAAGAGCCTTTTCATTAATTGGAACATTTGCTTTTTGGCTCTTTACACAAAGATGACTATTGGAGAGAAAGGACTCTGAAGAGCTGGTTAGCGCTAGAGTTGGGTAAACTTGAGAAGCCTGTATTGGAGCTACTGCTGGAGAAGAGCCATGACCTTCAGGGCAGAATTCAGGCTTCAGAGTTCTGACCTAGCCTTTGCCTGTAATTTTTCTGCCAATCACTGCCATCTCCAATGGGATGTCCGTCATCTGGGAAATGGACATAATAGGCCTTGATGATGCCTACGTCACCAGTACATTACATAGATTCTCTCACGAGGGAGACTAACATCCTTTGGAAAGGCAGAGTGGTAAAGGCATTAAGCATCATTTCCATGAAGCTCCCAATGGAAAATTTCTTCACTAAAAAAAAAGAACCTGCTCCAGTCCTCCCAGCCTGACCTTCATGTGGGTAGGTTTGTCCAATAATGCTCAACCTTAATGAGAGAGCACCAGTGATGTCCACCCTTTAAGTGGGGTTCTCTCATAGTTTCTCTTCAGAGTATATTACTGGCATTGCCAGGGTCCTGGAGTTACCATCTCTGTTTTAAAGAATTTGGAAACAGAGGCCCTGGTGAACGAAGAGAGTTGCCCAAGTTCATGTCAGAGAGTGTCCTTGACATGAAGGAGATGACAGAGGATGGACAGAGAGATGTGCATCTCAAGTCCTTGTAACTGGCTTCTGACTCTGCACCCAGCCTTCACCTCCTCAGCTGACACGAACAAATTTCTGAACACTCACACCCATCTCGTTCTTCTTCCTGTTGTTGACTATCAGGAAAGCCCTGGTCATCTGACCTCCAAACCATCTGGCAGTCCACACTCTGCTCTCCGTATAACATTCATTTGAGCATTTGGTGAATGCCAACTCGAGACCAGGCACTGTGCTACACATGGGCTAAAAACATGAGGAACTTATGGCCCTGCTTTCAAAGAGCTCAGTGACAGTCTTGGTTCAGGCCTTGACCCCCTGTTCCTGAAATATGGATGGCCTAATGGGTCCTTTTCCTTGAATTTTACCTTTTTCCAATCCAACCTTCTTATAGCCACTGGAATGGGCTTTTTAAATCCAAAGCTGGCCTGCTTAAATCTTTTCAGGAACCCTCAATGCTTACAAAATAAAGTTGAAGCCCTTCACTTGGCATTCAAGGCCCATCAGGATGTGCCTTTGTTTCTTTGGTTTCCTCTTCTCTACCATCACCATATGCAGCAAGAACACTGGATTTCCCACCCGTAAATCCTTCCCATACCTGTAGTGTGAGTTGCGGCTCCTTATATTAAGAAGTGGAACATATTTCTCTGCCCCTTGAATCTCAGTAGGCCATGAAACTGTCTTTGGCCAATGGGACCATTAGCAAATGTGAAGCAAGCAAAAGCTTGAAAGCTCTTTCTTTCTGCAAGCCCCTCCAGCCACTATGTTTACTAACCTTAGCTAGACTCCTTGAGGATAAGGCCCATGTGGAAAGAGATCTCAGCTGACCCCAAACATGTGGGTAACACCATCCACAACTTCCAGCAACAACTAAGCTCACTTAGACCATGAGAATCACTCACTCAACCCAAAAAATCATTCTAAAAAATGATAAATATTGGTTAAGTCACTAAGCTTTGAGTTGGTTTGTTATACAGCAAAAGCTAACTTACACAAACTCACAATGTGCATGCTGTTTTGTGCTACTCTGCTCTACCCCATACTGTTCCCTTCAATTGGTGTGCAGTTCATCCTCCTCCTGTGCCTGAACACATTTCTGTTCTGCTCACTGAATGACAGGCAGAGAAAGGGAGAGAAATCCCCATAGAAAGAAGAGCATACAGCCAAGTTTGCGTTGGCTGTGCATTCTGCTCTCAATATTCTTAGCCTGTCTTAACAATCATTCTTCTGGGTGGGCATACATGCTTTTCTTTCTCATGAAAAACTGGGCATCTCAGAGCACGGACTAAAACCCACTACCAAGGCTGTGCCTGCATCTGACTCATCACCCTCAAAGCCCTCCTCATCCTCCTTTCTCATTCCCTCATTTTCCTCACTAGCCTGGGAGAGCACTTTGCCCAGCATGGTGCTTGGCTCATCATTAAGCTTCCTGAAAGGACCCACATCATCATCACTTCCTCCATGAAGGCTTCAACAACATCCCAGGCTAAGTTGCTCTGTGTTTCCACCCAGTGCTCCCACATCCTGTTTTGCTTATGGCTGGCACCTTGTAAGGAAAATCTGTTTACCTATCCATCTTCCACAACTCTCCATTCCCAGCACACAAACACTGTCAGTCACCAGCAGGCCTTCTCTATCTTTGTGTCTCCATGCAGTAGAATCAAAGAAAGAATTGGTTGGATTAATTCATCCATCACCAAGGGCACACAAGGGAGCCACGGAGAATTAGAAACAAGCAGCTTCGAGTCAGACAGCTCTGAATGTAACCCCTTTTTTTACATTTTCAGGTAGAAAATCACTTAAACCTTTAGATTTTCAATCACCTCATGTGTGAGTGATGTCAATCAAGGAAAGTGACTGAGACAAGTCTCAGTCATTTTAGGGGTTTATTTGCCTAAGTTAAGGATACCCAGGCTGGGCGCGGTGGCTCATGCCTGTAATCCCAGCACTTTGGGAGGCTGAGGCGGGCGGATCACCTGAGATCAGGAGTTCCAAGCCAGCCAGGTCAACATGGTGAAACCCCGTTTCTACTAAAACTATAAAAATTAGCCAGGCATGGTGGTGGACGCCTGTAATCCCAACTACTTGGGAGGCTGAGGCAGGAGAATCACTGGAACCAGGGAGGTGGAGATTGCAGTGAGCCAAGATCATGCCACTGCACTCCAGCCTGGGCGACAGAGGAAGGCTCCGTCTCCAAAAGAAAAAAAAAAGATACTCAAGAGATAGGTCTATGCCTTTCTCCAAAGATGATTTTGAGGTCTTCAATATTTAAAGAAGAAAGGGTGGGAAATTGAGAAATACACAATTTTCATGTGAGAGGCAGGGAGGGGAAAACAGTCATTCATGCCTTAGTCTGGCTCAGTGAATCTGCATTTTTATGTAAGATAACCTAGGCAATAGGGCAGAGGAAACAATCAGATATGCACTGGTTTCAGGTGGGTAGAGGGATGACTTATAGTTCTATCCTGTGTTGCCACACCTGTGAAGATAAACTATCTATTTATTAATAAATTGCCGTGTTGAGCTTTAACAGAAATGCTTTAGGGTAAAGATCTTGGGGCCCACCGGGAATTTCCTTGTAGCTTTTCATCTTTATGTAGCTTTTCATCTTTGTATCCATCTTATTTAGGAACAAAACTTGGAGGCAGGTTTGCATGACCCAGTTCCCAGCTTAACTTTTGCCTTCGGCTTGGTGAGTTTGGGGTGCCAAGATTTATTTTCCTTTCACGGTGAGCACTATCTAAAAGATCATTGACCGTTGAACAACATAGGTGTTAGGGGCACCAGTCAAAAATCTGTATAATTTTTGACTCCCCAAAAACGTAACTACTAATAGCCCACTGTTGACCAGAAGCCTTACCAATAACATAAACAGCCAATTAAAACATATTTTGTATTTTATATGTATTAAATACGATATTCTTGCGGTAAAATAAGCAAGAGAAAAGAAAACATTATTAAGAAAATCATAAGGAAAACAAAATATATTGACTATTGACTGAGTGGAAGTGGAGCATCTTACAGGTCTTCATCCTTATTGTCTTCACATTGAGTAGGCTGAGAAGGGAGGAGGAAGAGGAGGGGTTAGTCTTGCTGTCTCTTGGTGGCAGAGACAGAAGAAAATTCACATACAAGTGTGGGCAGAGGGATGTGCGCAGCTCGAACCCATGTGGTTCAAAGGTCAACTGTAATCCTTTCCTCATGAGATGGTTTTGAGGAGTCATGAGATGGTTTTGAAGACTCATGAAAGATTATAAGTAAAACTCCACACTCAAAAGCTGGCACATGGGAGAGATTCAAGCCAAGTTCTGGACATCTTCTCCCTTCTCTCCAACTACCCACAAGTTCTCCTGCCCACTTTAATTTTTGGCTCCACCCCTGGCTGTTTCCCTGGATTACAGAGATGTCTTTCCCACACCACATGGGTGTCCTGAGCTGGGAAGAAATGGAGCATCCCCTCTGCTCAGCACCCTCTTGGAGCCTGAAGTTTATACACTTTATCTTAGCTTCCTTCTCCTTTATGAAGAGAAATAAGATGAGGCCTGCTGGTGTGGTTTATGAACTGTAACTCGGGATGCAAATTTTCACTGTTACCTTTCCGAGATGAAACAAAGGCTTTCAGCTGTCACCTCTCCTCTCCTGACCTCACTCTCCTGGAGTCTATAGTTGCAGATGGCAAAAGTCTCTGGCCTGGTTTGGTATTAGAAATGGTGTTGAAAGAGGAGGGCTACTCCATCCTCATTCATTCATCCCATTCATTCATTCTCTCTCACACACACACTCTTTGATTCATTCATTCATTTATGTGTTCTCTACATATGCATGGAGCATGCGTTTTCTGTGCCAGGCTCTGTGCTGGGATCAGAATGAAGAAGCAAATATGACTCAGTTGGTTTCTTCCCTGAAGGAGTTGAGTCCTCTGTTGACTTCTCTGTTATGCGTGTATATGAGAAGAGATGCAGGTCATTGCAATGTGCAGTGTGTCTTATGAGCCTGCCCCGGGACACAAAGGTAGAATCACCTTTTCCATGAAGCTGGAGTGTGAGCATAAAGTGCAATCGACAGGGGCGAGTGCAGAAAGTACATTGGATTGTGGCAATTGTGAAGGGCACTCCAAGGAGCTCTGTTTTTTGCCTCGGGCAAACAGGAACCACTGAAACCCTTAAAACAAGAAATAAATGGGAGCACTCATCTAGTTACTTCTTCAAATGCAGCTTGATCTGCTTCCCAATAGTTATTCCCCAAGAAGGTAGGAATCAGAGCAATCCTACAAAGCATTCCTTTGTATGGCTTTAGCAAATTACTTTATCATTTTGAATCTCAAAATAGGAAATACCAGAATTATTGAGTTTCCTCACTGAGTGGTTGAGCCTTTAAAACGGTTCTAGCCAAGCCGTTAGGTGTGTAGTCTCAGGGGTCAAACCTGGTTTGCCAACTCTGTCATTCTGGGACCACGCAACTGTTGAAATCCCCAGTTCTCCCACCTGTAAAATGAGCATGATCACATTTCCTTTGTTGTTGTGTGAATGAAAAGGGATAATGCATGTAAAAAGATTAGCACAGAGCAGGGCATGGTGGCATGTGCCTGTAGTTCAAGCTACTTGGGAGGCTGAGGGAGGAGGATCACTTGAGCCCAGGAATTTAAATCTGCAGTGAGCTATGATCATGTCACTGCACTCTAGCCTGGGTAACAGAACAAGACCTCGACTCTAAAAAAATTTTTGAATAAATACATAAATAAAAATAATGTTTTATTTTTTGTTTTGTTTTTGTTTTTGTTTTTGAGACAGAGTCTCGCTCTGCCGCCCAGGCTGGAGTGCAGTGGCGCGATCTCAGCTCACTGCAAGCTCCGCCTTCCGGGTTCACGCCATTCTCCTGCCTCAGCCTCCCGAGTAGCTGGGACCACAGGCGCCCGCCACTACGCCCAGCTAATTTTTTGTATTTTTAGTAGAGACGGGGTTTCACTGTGTTAGCCTTGATGGTCTCGATCTCCTGACCTCATGATCCACCCGCCTTGGCCTCCCAAAGTGCTGGGATTACAGGCGTGAGGCCACCGTGCCCGGCCATAAAAATAAATTGGAACAAATAATAATAAATAGGCTGGGCTTGGTGGCTCATGCCTGACATCCCAGCATTTTGGGAAGCCAAGCCGGGCGGATCACTTGAGGTCAAGAGTTCGAGACCAGCCTGGCTAACATGGTGAAACCCCGTCTCTACTAAAAAATATAAAAAATTAGCCAGGTGCTATGTCTCATGCCTGTAATCCCAGCTACACGGGAGGCTGAGGCATGAGAATCCCTTGAACCCGGGAGGTGGAGGTAGCAGTGAGCTGAGATTGGGCCACTGCACCCCAGCCTGGTCCCAAATAGATAAACAAATAAGTAAATACTAAAAAATAATGGTTAGCACAGTGCCAGCACGTAGTAAGCACACAATACATGATATTATTATCTGTATTAATTGATAGGATAACTCCCTGACACATGCGACTCTATCAGAACTGCAAGCTCATTCCATGTTCTTGCCTCACACACTCCCAAAGGTCTCAGGGACCACACAGATTCCAGGCCCATGTAGTGCCCCCTCCCAGAGCTCCATATTTTGAGAAGGAAAGAACTGCCAAAGAAAAATCCAACTGCATGCTTTTCCTATCAAAGAGAAAAACAAAAAAATGCAAAACACTTGCCGGAACACACCAGTTTTCTTCCCAGAACTTCTTAAAATTCTATGGGCCTTTCCGTCATATTCCTGGCCTATGCCTGCCACCAGGATATTTCCCGGCAGATATCGCTGGTGCCCCCAACCAGGCTCCAAGGAGAAGGAAAGGAAGGTCCTGCCAGGTACAGACGTGCCCAAGGCAGAGCTGCGCTCATCTTCTGGGCCTCATTGGCCTGCAGGGAAGGCAGAGCAGGCTTTGGGCTGCATCCAGAGTTCTCAGGAAGAAGCCCTGTTCATCTCCAGAACAGGAGACGTAAGGCTTTCCCACCACCCTGGGCATCCTGCCACCCTGCTCCTCTGGAGAGAGAAGCTCCTATGATCAACCAGAGCACCCATCGCTTCCCATGCCTCCTGGCCTTGTTCTGCTTTCTCATCTGGGAAAAGCCAAGGCTTTGTGCAAAACCCTCTTTGTGCCCTGGGGAGGGGCACTTAATCCTCACAGTGCAGCAGGAAGAGGGTGCTGGACCCACTGCTGGAGCTCCCTAAGGGCAGGGGCTGCTCAGACTCATCACTGCATGATGGGAGCTGACAGCAACCCTCCTAGCACAAATGAGGTGCTTTGAAAATGGTAGCTGCTTGAGCAGCTTATCAAGTTCTGGAGCAGTTAGATGGAAGCAGAAGAGATTGGCCCTCAGTAAGTAGCAACTGGCACCAGGCACTGTATTTTCTCATTTAATTCTCATGCTAACCCTGGAGCTATGTCTTCATAGCTCCACTTCGTAGACAAGTAAATTGAGGCTTAGAAATAACTTGATCCAAGTTGCAGGAGTAGAAAGTGGCAGCGCTGGAATGAAACCAGGTTTTTCTGACCCCAAGCCTCTTTCCCATGACAGCCCCTGCCTCTCTGGAAAGGGAGATCTGGGTCTCCGTGTTGACAAGCCTGCGGCCTGCAGACCTTGCCCACAGCACTATGCCAGGCATGGGGAGGGGGACTGAGTTCTGACCAGGAAGGCAACGCAGGGAGAAAATGCAGAATGAGGACAACAGCAAGTGGCATCGAGGAGCTGGGAGCAGGGAGGCGCAGAGGGCACGGCACAAATGTGATCTGTGAATCTGTGCAAAAGGGCTTTGGACATCCAGGCCACACAAATGCCAGGCACTAACTCCCCTCACCTCTTTGGAAGTCAGGAAGACTCTACACAGGAGGGACCTCTGAAATCCAGATAAATTGAGGGAGTAAAGGAATAATAACAAAAATCAGAGCTGCCATTGATAAATTACCTATGCCGTCCAGATATTCCACTAGGTACTGTAAATACATCATTGCATTTAATTCTCACAACTCCAAGAGGTGAGAGTTATGATTCCCATTTTACACTTGAGAAAATTGGGGCTCAGGTCAGGTCACTGACCCATAGCTGGCAAGTGGCAGAGTCAGAATTTGCACTCACATTTGACTGATTCCAGTGACTGCCCTATTCATAAGCCCCAAAGGCTACAGATACCGGCAGATTATGCACATGAGGAAAGCAGGGTGGGCTTAATAGGAAGAGGTGGAGAGAGCAGAAAACCCCAGAGCATGTGCTTCATCTAAAGGGGCAGCTGCTCCTCAGCTTCAGCCAATTCTTGCCATTTGAGAATGTGGATCCAGTGTGGCCAGATCTTTCCATGTCAAGATAAGCCAGAAATCATTTATATTTCTGGGTGTAAAATCTGATTTTTAAATACTGGAGAATAATGTTTAAATTGTTTAAACACATAGAAAACTAAACAAGTCCTGTCTGAAAGACAGATATGGCCTCAGGTCAACATTTTGCAATCTCTGTTCCGCAATGTGGGGTGGCAGAGGGCACCCCATCCCTAGAGATGTCAAGCATATTCTGAACAACAGACCCCAGGGGATGGTGGAGAAGCAACTGGAGGGGATGCTGCTGAGGACGGACCTGGTAACCTTTAAGATTCCTTCAAAGGTTTGAGACCAGCCTGGCCAACATGGTGAAACCCTGTCTGTACTAAAAAAATTAAAAAATTAGCCAGATATGGTGGCGGGCACCTGTAATCCCAGCTTCTTGGGAGGCTGAGACTTGAGACTCACTTGAACCTGGGAGGCGGAGGTTGCAGTGAGCCAAGATCACCCCACTGCACTCCAGCATGGGGCTACAAAGTGAGACTCTGTCTTAAAAAAAAAAAAAAAAAAAAAAAGATTCCTCCAAAGCTTGAGACTGCATGAATCCAGGAATTGGCAGAGTGGAGATGGGCGGGATCCCTAAGCAAGGCAAACACTATGAGCAGAGGCGTGGAGCCAGGAACAGTCCTTTTGTCTTCATTCACTCCCTATTCTGAAAGCCTTCATGTCTTCCCCCTGTCTCCTCATTTTGGTGATGGCTCTGCCCTAAATCCCTGGCCTAACCATCAGTTGCAATGGCTCCAGGGAAAGGCACCCTCACCGCTTCCTAGACCTGCCTCCAGATCTCTCTCCACCTGCCTCAGCCCTGCCTCTCCTCTCTGAGCCACCTCTCCAAACTCTCATCTTATGTGTAATTTTAGCTACCCAACCCAGGTGACCCAGACGATGGTGGCCTGCCATTTGTCTTTTCTCTTCCAGATAATCCACATGCCCCAAATATTTATTCCCCAAGTACTCATTGCACCCCCACTATCCGTAGAGCTCTGTGCTAGGCATGTAGGGTGCCGCTGGGAACAAGACAGATGCCATTGTCTAGTCCAGTGCTGGCCATGCGGGGACTGCTCAGCAAAGACTTTTGCTAAATGGAAACAAGTGATGATAAAGTGGAAAGACTTTTGACCTCCCCCATCTCTCTGGCTTCAAGACCCTGCATCTCTTCACCCTACAGACACCCAGTCCTGTCGATCCTACTTCCTTACTATCTCTCCCAGGCATTCAAGGAGGCACAGTGGGGAAAAGCCCTGAGGACCCGAGAAGAAGGTAGTTACAGGTGGCATCTTTTCTTTTTTTTTTTTAATGTTCTCACTCCCCCACCCACCATGGCAAAGGTCCCACTTGCAGACACACTCCTCCTGAAGTTGGAAGCTGGCCTTGCCTCTGCCATGGCAGGCAGCCCTGAGTCAGCTGCCAGGACCTGGGGTGGAGTACAAATAGCCCCAGGCCCCTTCAGGCAGACCAAGAGCCAGCAACTCACCCCCTGGGCACCCAGCCAGGCTTCCTTCAAGCCAGGGCCTGAGCACATGGACCCTAATCGGCGAAACCCCCCACCCTTCCTTTGCAAACACCCTTGTGGTCAGCTCAGGGCGGGCCGACAGGCAGAGCTGATCTCCCCCGTGCTCCCTGAAAGCCTCCACACTGAAGGAGCTGGCGCAGGACCGCTCAACCCCGGCCAAGAGCAGCCCGGCCATCTGAGAAGGGCTGGGAGCTGCCCTCTGGACAAGGAGCGGAGCTCCGGGATCTGAATAGGACGCTGACTCTGGTGGACTCCCGCCTGCATGTCCTCCAGTCCTCTGCTCAAAGGCCTGCTCCCACCTACTGCGATTACACACATACACCCCAGCACTCCTGTTTATGCCCCTTATCATGCTTTATTTTTTTATAGGATTAAAAAAAATTTTGTTTTGCCATTTGGCATATCATAATGTATATTATTCATTTGTGGGAAATTCACTAGGATGAAAGTTCTATGAGGACAGCAATCTTTTTGTTCTATTCCCTACTATATCCCATTTCTAGCTGCTAATAGGTGCTCAGTAAACATTTGAAGGAGGAGGAAGGAAAAGAAGGAAGAAAGGGAGGGTGGGAGGGAGAATCTTTAGAGAGGGTAGGTCTGGTTAGCCTTCTTCTCTTCCCGGCTGGCATCTCTCCTTCAGAACTACCCCAGACTGGTGGCCTTATAACCTTTTGGAGAAATGACTTTAGCAGCCACTTTTTAAACTTCCATTTATCCCATTTATCTGGGGCTCACTCTGTGTCAGGCAGTACAGATAGATGATCTCACTTGATCTTCTCAACAACTCTGAGGTCTGTGTCATTGCTTTGACTCAGGCTTTCTCAACCTCAGCCCTAGTGACAATCGAAGCCGACAGGTCCCTATTGTGGAGGGCTGTGCTGTGCATTGCAGGACATGTGGCAGCATCCCTGGCCCCAACCCACCAGATACCACCAGTACCCTTACTCCTAGTGTGACAACCAAAAATGTCTCCAGACATTGCTAAGTGTCCCTTGGGGTGGCAGGCAAAATTGCTTCATTTGAGAACCTCTGTGTTAACTCCACAAAGGGGGAAACAGGCTCAGAGAAGCTAAGGAAGTTGCTGGAGGCCATGACAGAGGAAGGAATCCCACCTAGGTCTGCCTTGCTTCAAAGCCAGCGTTCCCTCCGTTCTGCCAGGCCATCCTCCCTCGGCAGGCAGGGCTCACGGTCCAGGGAACTGTTACTGAGAGGCCTCTGCCCAGCCTCTGCCCAGCCCCTGCCTGTGTCCCAACGACGACAGAGCAAGGCCCCTGACGTGCGAGAAGAGCCTTCCCCAGCAGCCGCCGCTGAGTTTAAGGCCAAGCAGCTTGAAAAACACTTACTCATACCCTGGCCATGACGGGGAAACATCACGAATGATAAATCATATCTCTTAATTATCTGTGATTTCTGAGGCCGGCCAAAATTTCCTTTTCATGACAAATATTTGCTCTGAGATTTCTTTTCCCCTGAAAAAGAGAAGCAATGCAAGGAGATCCCTGGGGCTGGTCTCCCAAGTGGGAATCCCAGCATCTCTGATCAGCCCTCTTGTCCCACCCAAGCTGTCTGGAGCTAGGTTCCTGCCTGGGCATGCCTCTTCCCTCCACGCTCCAAGTAGTAAAATCCCCAGGTTTCTGTTTTGTTTTGTGTTTTTCGTTTTCTTGGAAGGGTGCCTGAATTGGAGATGTTTACTCACTTAAATGAGACCTATTTGAAATTACTCTGAGGGCGGGAGGAAGACAGAAAATAAAAGGGCATAGGGCCCAGGGTGAAAAGGCCAGGGTTCGAGTCAACTTGAAACTGCTGCAGGAAAATTTACCCCACTAGTCTAGCACCTCTTGGCATGATAAGGAGAGTGCCCAGTCTTCTCAGCCCCCATAACTTCTGGCCCTTCACCCTGCGGGGCTCCTTCTAGCTTCATCTTCCCCACTCTTCCCTTAGGGTGAGCCCCTTTACTAGCTTTTAAATACGATTTTTCACAGGTTTTTGTCTTTGCAGTGAATGCTTTTCCCTATTTTCTGCCCATAAAACTCCTATTCCTCTTCCGTAACCCAATATAAATGTCCCTTTCTTTGCCAATCCTTGCCCCACCCCGGGTAGAATTCATCTCTCCCTCTCCATGATTCCTCAGTAGTTTACACAGACATCAGTTTTACTTGGTTTATACTCTCTTGGAGATATGCATGTACCAGGCCTCTGGAGTCCAGGGGAAAAGCTGAGTGGGCGACCAGAGCAAGCCAACCGCCACTGGAGACAGAAAAAGACATTCAGGTTTTTTCGCTCCAGGGCTTTCCTGTCCACCCAGCTTGGTTTTCCCTGGTCCACTAACATGTATGACTGTCCTGGGCGCATCTGCTAGAACAAATTGCAGAGGAGCTTTGCAGCAGTCAGAAACTCTGATCCTATTTTGTTCTACATTCTGAAGCAGGTGACATGGGCCACCACATTCTTCTCTCTTTTCCTTCCTTCCTTCCTTTCTTCCTTTTCTTTCTTTTCTTTTCTTTTCTTTTTTTTTTTTTTTTGGCAGAGTCTTGCTCTGTTGCCCAGGCTGGAGTACAGTGGCATGATCTCAGATCACTATAGCCTCAACCTCCTGGGCCCAAGCAATCCTCCCACCTCAGCCTCCTGAGTAGCTAGGACTGCAGCCATGCACCACCATTCTCAGTTATTTTTTAATTTTTGTAGAAATGGGGTTTTGCTATGTTGCCCAGGCTGCTCTCAAACTTCTGAGCTCAAGGGATCCTCCTGCCTCAGCCCCTCAAAGTGCTGGGATTACAGCCACGCACCACCATGTCAGCCAGGCCACCACCACTTTCTATGAGAATATTCTGGGTTCTGGTTACACTCACGTGCCATTGTCATGAAGCTAGGCTCATTGAAGGCACTTGACCATAGTCCATCTCAATCTCTCTCCTCTTGGCATAAAAATATGGAGTGAGCAGAGTGGGGTGCCTGGTCCTGGCTGAAAGAAAGCAGAGAGCTGATATCCATCTCTGCAGGTCAGCCTCCCACTACAAATTCACAGCCACCCTACTGACTACCCACGAGCTCTGCTGAGACTCAAGGATGCTTCTCTTCTGCTCCAGTCCTAGTGATGAGGGAAGAGCAGGTCAAAAGGCCTGCCTCAGCCACCCAGAGCCAGCTCCTGCCCTTCAACAAATCCTGAAGTGCCACAGCTTATACCCAGAGAGTACCATCATACTTCCTTTGACTTGCACTGCCAATGAGAACCAGCATCTGTGGTCCCTTGCAGAAGCTGGGTTGCAGTTGGTCTGCAGAGCTCTGCTTGGCAGGCAGGCATGATGTGCGTCTGCTGGAGGTAGCACAGTGAGGCACCCTTACTCCATTATCTCCCCAATGTCCTGAGTTTATAAAACAGCAAATAGATCTGGAATGTCACCCCAGTACAATCATTCAGAAAGTGGCTTCAGGACCCACCCAGGGATTACCAGACTGTTATGTTTTAATTAACGGCAGGAGATGAGACCAAGGATGAGGGTGGGTCAGTAACTTAAGGATAGGCAGCAGCAAGCATTCAATGTGAAAGTTAGGAGTTTGGTTGTTAATTCTTTAGACAGTTTGCAGCCAGAAGCAAATTCTGACCTGTCTCAGAAGCTCACCCAGCCGCAAGTGGAAGACACACTTCCAAGGGGGCAATGCTGGAAGCCAGGAGGTAAGAGAAGGGCTGTTGCTGCTGCCATTAGGAGAACTGCCAGAGCCTGAGTTGCTGAACTGCAGAAACTGGGAGGAAGGAGCAAATTCAAAAAGCCTGAAATCCATAAAATCAACAGGACTTGGTCATTTATTAGACTGGTGGTTAAACAGAAAGAGTCATCAAGATGGGTGCCCAGGATTAGGTAACTAGGTGGGTGGTGATAGCATTAGCCAGGGCAAGGAATCAAGCACACAGGACCATTTGTTGGAGACAGAGGAGGTGGGGAGGACAACAGAGAGGTCAAGCATGTTGCTTTGGGTCTATTGAGTTAAAGGCCCCTGGCAACATCCAAGTGAATATGAATGTATGGGCCTAACCTCAGGGAAGAAGTTGAGGATGAAAATACAGCATAGAAGTTGTTAAATCTATAGAAAAAGATGCATCTGCCTAAGGAGAGTGTATGGATACAGAAAAGAGGAGACCTGCAACAGAGCCCTGTGAACTTGCAGCCAGTCAAGAAAGTCAAGAGAAGAGCGAATCATGCAGAGAAGAAAAGACACTCAGCAAGGTAAGAGGCAGAGGTAGGAGACAAGGTGGGATTCTCATTAGAACTGAGTTAAAAGCAGCCAGTACAGCACCTGGCACATACAAGGTGTCCTCAATATTGGCAATTTTCTACCCAACTGGCAGGAATGTGAACAATAGTAACCGTCATTGAGTTATTGAACTCTTTTTTGTTTTCTTTTTTGTGACAGGGTCTTGCTCTGTCATCCCGGCTGGAGTGCAGTGGTGCAAACAGGTCTCACTACAGCCTCTACTTTCTGGGCTCAAGAGATCCTCCTACCTCAGCCTCCCAAGTAGCTGGGACCACAGGTGCATGCCAGCATGCTTAGCTAATTTTTTTATTTTTTATAGAGATGGGAGTCTCACGATGTTCCCCAGGCTGTCTCAAACTCCTGTGCTCGAACAATCCTCCCCACCTTGGCCTCCCAAAGTGCTGGGATTACAGGTGTGAGCCACCGTGCCCAGCCGTATAGAACTCTTACAAGGCCAAATACTAAGCATTTTCCCTGAATAGCTTATGCATCCTTCATAGCCTATTACTGTTATGCCTATTTTCAAGATAAAAGGAATGAAGCACAAAGACGTTCATAAGTGTAGGTAACACCCTAGTCTATAGATGGAGAAGCCGAGCCCAGGGTGACAATGCACAGTTCATTTCAGATAAGTGGCCTCTGAGCACATGGTAAAGAAGCAAGCACAGTCCGCAGGCCCAAACCCCTGCTCCACCTACCAGTTGCTGCTGCCTCTGCAGATTTTCTCCGGCCCTGCTGGGGCGTCCAGAGCACTCAGCACCAAACTGTACAGCACATCTTGACTCCAAGTCAAAGGGCCTAAAAAAAAAAAAAAAAAAAGCCTCCAAGATCTCCTGGCTGCCAAATTGTGATTGCAAAACTACTGATGATTTAACTGTAAATGAATCTGAAACATACGGACTGAATTTCTCTTGAACTACGCATTAAAATGCTCGTTTGATGAAAATAAAGGCCCTGTTGAAAAATTGTAAAGAAAAAAAGAAGGAAAAAACAAGGTGGTAAATATGTGAGATTCAAGGGGGTATGGAAAGTGAGGAGCTGGCAGAGAGAGAACACTTTTGACATCCCCTAAGTGCAAGGCAAGTGAGAGATTTTACAAGGGGACTGTGAATTTCTTCTGCCTCTCCAAGGGGATACAGCTTTGCTGGCCCTGACAGCCATGTGGGGGTGTCCAATGACTGCTGAGGTATGGCAGCTTAAGAAAGAGGAAACTCTATATACGAGATGCTTATGTGCGTCTGTGTGTGTGTATCTGTGTGTGTGTGTGCAGGTAACTGGAAAAGCTGGAAAAGGAGAAATATATATATACATATATATACATATATACATATATATACAGTGTGTGTGTACGTGTGTATATATCTATTTATATGAACCATCTTCGCTGTATTTAGATATAAAGATATATAAATATATTTAGGAGCTGGAAATACATAGATATATAGATATCTTGAGAAATAACCATTCTATGTATAAAATTTAAAGTGATAAATGTAAATATTATACTTACTTTATGTACAAATAATGTCAAGCTTAGATGTTTCATATATTCAGAATATGCATATTCTAGAAATATCTATGTTAAATATATACGCTAAGTATATATCTTTAAAATATATGTAATATATCTAGTTAAATATATCCATGTGTATTCCAAAACCCCAAAAGGAAGGACAATGTGCAGGAGAGCAATGGGTGCTCACAACCCTGACCTAGCTCCAATCTGATTCCCTGGTTGCTGGGAAAAAGCCAAAAATCACTGTTGGTATTTTTTAGGAGCTGTGCTTCCAGTGGCCTCTGGTCCAGTCTGTTCAACTCAAGATGGTATGAGCAGCGGGCTCCGTCAGCAGGCCTGAGCTGGACACACGTGACACCAGTCACCATGCAGAACAAGGAGTTCCTGCCCTTGAAACCCACAGGTCATCAACATCTTTGCATCTGGCCTCTTCTACGACTGGGTATTTTCCAATCATCCACTGCCTGCAACTTCTCTCCCGGAAGTCACAGTTGCCAACTGAAAACTTCCAAAGGGGTGAAGAGAAACCCCTCTCTGAACCTAAATAAAAACAGAGATCACCTTTGCCAGAGAAAGGGCGCCTGCTCAGAAGCTCTGATTTCAAATTATGAAGAGCACAGAGCCACAGTCCAGGCTTAGGAGTGACGCTGGTAAATGGTGGTGGTGGTTTCACTTTGTGTTTTTCCTCCCCAGTAAATTCTACTATCCTGTTTTATTTTCCTTCCTCCTCCAACCCTTTGGTGCTGTTAGGAAATAGTTTTGGGAAACACTTGTTCAAAACACAACAGCAGAAAACGGGTAAGCTGCCAGTAAGTTTTTCAAAAGAACTATTTGGCAGCCCTGAAACAGATTACAACGCTGGTACAAACCTTGACTGACTGCAGGGTTACAGATGTCAGAATCGTGTGTCTTCAGAAATATGCACAACAACAACTGGATTCCCTGTCATAATGCCTGGCCCTACCAACATTGCAAAATGCTGGCCGGCAGAGAGGACAGAAACCATTCGGTCACAGCCTTTTTCCTGAGTAATAGTGGGGTCCTGCAAGCTACAACTCAGTTGTCAATAGGACTGGAAATTCCTTGACTAAACTCATATAAACTGGACCTTTCCATGCATGTCTCTGTCAAAAATGACTTTCTTTTAAGAGAGATCAGTCAGCAGAAGGGAATGGGAATCTGTGCCAAGGCCGCAAAGGGATGAATACACACTGCCAGAAATCTGCCAGTGCTCCTGGCACAAGGCAAGAATTAACCCTTGACAGGGTGCAGGAAGTGAGATAATCCACTGCCAAGGTCCAGAACTCTGATGTGGGAGGGAGACCGCATTAGTTCAAACCTCGGCTCTGAAACTTACTTGTTATGGGGACAACTGAACCTCTCCATGTATCAGTTGCCCCTCCTGTAAAATTGGCATGATAATAATTGTCACTGTATCATAAAGACAGTCTGAGAATTAAATGGGTAAACATGAGAAGGACTTGGTACAATCCCTGATATATAGTAAGTTCTCACTAGATAGTAGTTATTATTTGTGTTGCTTTTTTGTTGCTGTTAGTTTCAGCTCACTACAATTAAGAAGCTACAAAATATGCTTTGCCTGAATTGGCACTAGCAAAAATTTAAGTACAAGAAGTACAAATTCACGTACAAGAAGTGTGTACGTGAATCCTTCTCCTAAGTACCACAGGGATATTTATTCACGATGGTGACTCCACCCAAAATCGCCCTATGCTCATTTCAACTACTTAACTAATTCATTGATTGATTGATTGATTCCTAATCATTTAACATTAGCATGGAGGGATAGCTACTTGAGGAAGATGCAGTTCCTGCTCTGACAGGATTCTTAGTCTACTTGAAGAGATAAACATGGACAGAATGATGACACAAGACACAGTCACTCACATTCTAAATAGGAGGACCCTCAGAAGCCAGAAGAAACACAGGTCCACTGGGTGGCTACTTGTCAATTCTGGCTCTCGAAAGGCACCTTTTCCGACACTTCCTCCCACCCTCAGCCTGGTGTGCACCTGCTTTCCTCAAGCACCCACAGCCTGCAGCTGCACTCCTCAGCCACTGTGTCTCCTCCTCTGGATTGGATACTCCCTGAAGGCATGGCTGCTCCCAGTCTTGTCTACTATTGTGTTCCCAGTGCTAGCTTACAATCCTCATTCAGAGAATGAATATATGAATGATGAGACAGAGAACGAAGAAGGGAATAAGGTAGAGTAGACTGAAGATGATAATTCTGGATTATCCGCAAGAGACCTGTTAGGAGGCAGTAATGCTGGCCTTGGACAACATGATCTGCATAGTCAAAAGACCTCAAGCAGAGAAACAACTGTCTACCTTTAGGCACACAATCAGTCTGTCTTCACCATGAAGACATGTGTCAGTGCTGAGATCTGAGAATCCCCAGGGTGAGCTAGCACTCGGCCAGAGAGCTGCTGAGCTGGAGGTGAACCTGTACCATGTTAGAGTGACAAGTATTGATGTAATAACAGTGCCAATTGCCCATGGAAATGGGCCATCAGGAAACTGGCATAAGCATGACCCATACAAAGTAGCCTCTTAGCTTCATTTTTAGAATCTACCTCCCAGCCTTTCAGCCAGTGGATACCCAAAACAGAACAGGAAAGGAAAGCAATGTTGATAATTAGAGTTCCATGATATTGCCTGTACTATTTCCTTTACATACAGCGTTGGAAGGTAACTAGTATTATTTCTATTTTATAGCTAGGGATCTTGCGGATCAGAGAGGGCAAGTAACTTGTCTAATGACACACAGCTACTAAAACTCGAGGATGGGACTTGAGCCCAGATTTTCTGACTTCAAAATCCATGCTCTTGCTTTTGAATCACGCTGTCCCTCTTCTCTTACGTATTATGATGGACTCACTCTAACTCCCATCACAAGGCATTTGTTTCTCAAAGGAAATCACAAACTGCTTATTTCACTATCATTTGGCAACTGCACACAGTTCTTCAGGGAAACTGGGGAGCCCGGGATGAAAATTCCACCCATGGATTATCTTAAATTGCTTGTGTTTCCTTGAAAAATGCCTGGCACTACCAACAGCTCTGGTATGGTTTCCAGCAGTGACCAGAGCCTTGTTCAACAAGGACGCTCTGATAATTGATTGGCTGTGCTCTTCCTAACATTTGACACCAACAGATGCTATGAATCTGAAGCTGCCATCTGTTCATGACACTCAGGTTTATGGGGGCCTCCAGGGCTTCAACCAGCCTGAAGAATCAGCCTTGGGTCCATTAGGGCACTGCCATGGCAAATCCAAAGCACTGGAGGAATGCTAGCTTCCCAGTGGGAAAGCCTTGGCAGGCTTTGGGATCCTGGGTGTGCCCAACTGCAGAGTGGAAGACAAAGGCTTCTAACAAAGAGGTTGATCCCCAAAAGACACCAAGTGTGTAACAGATGGAAGAGTATTTAGGTGGGTCAATGAGAGCAAGGTAGCAGGAAAAATACCAGCTTTGACCTCCCTTGAGAGACCAGGGAAATGGGGACTCTGCATCTCATGCCCACTGAGCACATCATGCCAGCCACTGAGCTGGACACTTTACACAATCATCTCTAGTGCTCACAGCAGCTCTTTGAAGTTGGAATGACTATCTCCATTTTACAGATGAGAAAACTGAGAATCACAAAGTGAGTTGTCCCAGGTAGTCAACCTCCTATACTATACTCTATGCTAGAGCAAGGACCATGGCTGGTTTTTGCTCAGCTCCGGATTCTATACCTAGCATCAGGCATCAGGACCAGCTACATAATTTGTAGGCCTTAATGCAAAATGAAAATACAGGGTTTCAGGGCTGTTTTTGTTTTGTTTTGTTTCGTTTTGCTTTTTTTAGAAAGGATCTTGTTTGACACCCAGGCTGGAGTGCAATGGCATGATCATAGCTCAGTGCAGCCTTGAACTCTTAGTCTCAAGCAGATCCTCCCATCTCAGCCTCCCAACTAGCTGGGTCTACAGACATAAGCCACACCATGCGTGGCTATTTTTTATTTCTCGTAGAGATGGGGTCTCACTGTGTTGCTCAGGCTGGTCTCTAACTCCTGAGATCAAGCAATCCTCCAGCTTTGGCCTTCCAAAGTGCTAGAATTACAGGCATGAGCCACCATGCCCAGTGGAAATGCAGGGTTTCTTGTCTAACAATTACTAAGAATTTCAAGATGGTAACAGTAGATCATTAAATCAAGCCTGGGACCTTCTGAGAGATAGCTGTGCTCCCATGTTTATCGCAGCACTGTTCACAATAGCCAAGATGTAAAATCCACGCAAGTGTCCATCAACAGATGAATGGTTGAAGTAAATGTGCTACATATACACAATGGAATATTACTCATCCTTAAAAAGGAAATGATATCCTGTCACTTGCAACAACATGGATGGAACTGCAGGTCATCATGTTAAGTGAAATAAGCCCGATACAGAAAAACAAATATTGCATGTTCTCACACATATGTTTGAGACAAAAAAGTGGATCTCATGGAGGTGGAGAGTAGAATGGTGGTTACCAGAGGCTGGGAAGGGTGATGTGTGTTGGGAGGGGGAAGACGAGAAATTGTTTAATGGGTATAAAAATACAATTAGAGGCTGGGCGCAGTGGCTCACACCTGTAATCCCAGCACTTTGGGAGGCCAGGGCGGGTGGATAACCTGAAGTCAGGAGTTCGAGACCAGCCTGGCCAACATGGTGAAACCCCATCTCTAGTGAAAATACAAAAATTAGCTGGGCACAGTGGTGGGCACCTGTAATCCCAGCTACTCAGGAGGCTGAGGCAGAAGAATTGCTTGAACCCGGGAGGTGGAGGTTACAGTGAGCCGAGATTGTGCCACTGCACTCCAGCCTGCGTGACAGAGCAAGACTCCGTCTATGAAAATAATAATAATAATAATACAATTAGATAGTCCAGAAGTGTTGGCTCAGGTCTGTAATTCCAGCACTTTGGGAGACTGACACAGCCAGATCATTTGAGGTCAGGAGTTTGAGACCAGCCTGGCCAATATGGTGAAACCCTGTCTCCACTAAAAATACAAATATTAGCTGGGCATGGTGGTGCATGCCTATAATCCCAACTACTCAGGAGGCTGAGATGGGAGAGTCGCTTGAACCCAGGAGACGGGGGTTGCAGTGAGCCGAGATTGTGCCACTGAACTCCAGCCTGGGTGACAAAGCGAGACTCCATCTCAAAAAAAAAAAAAATTAGATAGAATGAATAACTTCTAATATTCGACAGTGCAGTAGGGAAGTTATAGTTAACAATAGTTTGGAACAATGGTATATTCCAAAATAGCTAGAAGTGAAGAATTGTAATGCTCTCAACACAAAGAAAAGTTAAACATTTGAAATCATGGATGTCCTAATTACCTTAAGTTGATTGTTACACATTGTATGCATGTATCAAAATACCACATGTACCCCCAAAATAAGTACAACTATGATATATCAGTTTTAAAAATGCAAAAAAAGCACATGCAGGAACCCCCCACATGTGGAGTCCTGTGTAACTGCAGAAGTCATGTGCCCATGACACCAACCCTGCCCAGCACCATTTTTAGCACATAATAGCTTACAAATAAGAAGCCTACGGAATAAATGAATGACGAACAATAAAACTGAAAACTAGGTCTGTCTGTTAGATCTCAAATCCTGTCTAGATCTTCGCATCATTCTTTGCCGCCTTCTCCCTAAGTATAATCTCCCTGGTCCCAGTTTTTTTTTTTTTTACTCTGTTAAGAGGTCAGAGCAAAAGAAATGTCAAAACAATGAATGAGAAAGCATTTTAAAATGACGATATTCTGCAAAACATTCCTGGTTTTTCATTTTGTTTTGTTTCAGATATAGGTCTTACTGTGGCTACGTTGCCCAGGCTGGAGTACAGTGGCACAATCATAGCTCATGGCCTCAAACTCCTGGGCTCAAGTGATTCTCCTGCCTCAGCCTCCCAAGTAACTGGGACTACAGGCACACCCCACCATGCCTGGCTAAAATATTATTTTTAAAATGTCTCATTTCCAAGTTTTTCATGTTACCTTAGGTCATGACCCTAGTCAGAAGAAGAGGTGGCATAGGATGAGTGCATATCACCCTGAAATCTAGTAGAGTCCCCTTTAGCTCCCTGACACACAGTACCAACCAGATCCAGAGAGGGGCCTGCTAGCTGTGCACTCCCTTCTCCATCAGCAGCACTGATGATACCTTCTAACCTCCTGCAACTCATCCCGGCACTATTGCTAGCATGGTGCTTCTGTGCTAATGTTTTAAAAGCCCCTTTTTGTCTCCAGGTGGATACAACACTCAAGCACTGGAGTGCAGCGGCATGACCATAGCTCACTGCAGCCTTGAACTCCTAGGCTCAAGCAGATCCTCCCATCTTAGCCTCCCAAGTAGCTGGGACTACAGGCATGAGCCACCATGCTCGGCTATTTTTTATTTCTTGTAGTGATGACTAAGTGGCCTCAGGAACCCAGAGCCTAATTACTGTTCTAGGAGCCAAAAGCACTGGCAATGCTGTTGAATGAATCTGCCTACAATCTGAGGGAGAATGGAGTAAGGGGCAGAGAGAAAATGTTGACAAGGGATGTCAGTTGATAGCTAAGGTTCCTCAGTTACAAGCAATGTGAACCGACCTTCTTGTTCAGGCACAGAACAATGGAGGACTGGAGTGGGGGCAGCTTACAGGAAGGATTCAGTGTTGCTCACAGAATCCAAGGAAGACCAAAACAACAGGCGTTGGGAGAATGCAGGAGCCAGAGAAACTCACAGAAG
The DNA here is from genome assembly GCF_000001405.40 of Homo sapiens. Lineage (NCBI taxonomy): Eukaryota > Metazoa > Chordata > Mammalia > Primates > Hominidae > Homo > Homo sapiens. The sequence goes on along the minus strand of NC_000009.12, from coordinate 107,727,283 downwards.
CTCTGGAAACTTCTCTCTAAGCAGCATTTTTAGACTATTGGTTTAGCTCATTCATGAGTCATGAAATGAATTTAGTGAGTTACCCTCAGTGTTTTCTTTATTATTAAATACAGAGATGAGAAAGAAAGGGAAACGGGAAATGGGAAAGAGAAGGAAAGGGAGGAAAGAGAAAAAGGAGAGGAAAGAAGGAGAGAAGAGAAGAAAACAAGAAAGAAAAGGGGATGGAAGAGAAGTGAAAGAGAAAGAAAAAGTCCAGGCATGGTGGCTCATGCCTGTAATTCAAGCACTTTGAGAGGCCGAGGTGGGCGGATCACAAGGTCAGGAGTTTGAGATCAGCCTGGCCAACATAGTGAAACCCAGTATCTACTAAAAATACAAAAATTAGCCGGGCATGGTGGTGCGCACCTGTAATCCCAGCTAGCTACTCAGGAGGCTGAGCTAGGCGAATCGCTTGAACCTGGGAGGCGGAGGTTGAGGTGAGCTGAGATCGTGCCACTGCACTCCAGCCTGGGTGACAGAGCGAGACTCCATCTCAAAAAAAAAAAAGGCCAGGCACAGTGGTTCACACCTGTAATCCCAGCACTTTGGGAGGCCAAGGCGGGCAGATCACGAGGTCAGGAGATCGAGACCATCCTGGCTAACACGGTGAAACCCCATCTCTACTAAAAAAAAAACAAAAAAATTAGCCAGGCGTGGTGGCAGGCACCTGTAGTCCCAGCTACTCGGGAGGCTGAGGCAGGAGAATGGCATGAACCCAGGAAGCAGAGCTTGCAGTGAGCTGAGATCACACCACTGCACTCCAGCCTGAGTGATAGAGCGAGACTCCATCTCGAAAAACAGAACAAAACAAAACAAAAACCAAAAAAAGAGAGGAGAGGAGAGTAACACCAATCTCCAAAAATGTGTGCGATGAAACCACAAATTTTCTAGTTATCAGTACTACATCTAGCAGGTAAGAATATCTATCAGCATATGTAAACAAAACATTCTGCTTTCTTGAGAAGAAATTTACTAATTAATCGATGTCTTAAACAAACAAACAAAAAACCTATCCAGGGCAACATGAAGAAACCCTGTCGCTGCAAAAAATCAGAACTTAGCCAGGCGTGGTGGCACACACCTGTAGTACCAGCTACTAGAGAGGCTGAGATGGGAGGATCACTTAAGCCTGAAAGTTTGGGGCTCCAGAGTGAGCTATGATTGCCACTGCACTCCAGCCTGGGAGACAGAGTGAGACCCTGTCTCAAAACAAAACGAAACAACAACAACAAAAAGGCCTGGAGTAAAAAGAATGTGGATTTGAAATTGAAATTGGAAAACTAGACTCTACCTCCAGGCCCTACCCCTCACAAGTTGGATGACCTTAGGCAATCACATACTCTCATTACACCTCAATATCTACATAAATGAAATGGAAATAGCACCACATTACCCTAAAGAGTTCTGGTTAAAACTAGACAAGATAATGATGCAAAACATCTAGCATGGAGCCTGGCACCTCATGGGCACACAATATATGCCAGTTCCATATGAATATCACCTGTTACTCTGTAGTGGAAATATAGCTCTTGCATCAGAAAAAAACACCTAAAATACAATCCTGCACTAAATAGACACCCGTGATGTGGCATTTCTTTTGCACAAAGTTGTGGTCTGCTTTGTAGGCAACAGTGAAATACCCATTGGCTTATGGACACTCTATGAGACAACAATTCCAGCCCTGGTCATACACACACATTTGCTCATGCCCCCCACTTGCCTCTAATCTGGTTTCTCTCAAGTGAATAATATCTGCCTTGGCCTAACCTCTTTGTTGCTATGCATACAACCACAGAAAACACTGTTAATACCGAAGCATCCTAGATCTTTCCCGGCACCGTGTATCAAATGGAAGGATTTCTTCCAAAGTCAAAGTTCACCTCACATCTGATGAGTCAACAGGATCCAAATTTTCCTTGGACTTATATTGTACTGCTCAAGTTGCTTGTGTGCATTTATGTAACTTTGCTAGAAACAGTTCACCAATTTCCTCAGACTTTAATTTTTAATTAATTGTTTTTGTATTTCAAATTTTTGAATTTTATTTCTAACTTTTCTGGGTTCATAGTGCGTGTATATATTTATGGGGTACGTGAGATGTTTTGAATCAGGCATGTGATGTGCAATAAGCACATCATAAAGAATGGAGTATTCATCCCCTCAAGCATTTTCCTTTGTGTTACAAACAATTCAATTACATTGTTATTTTAAAATATATAATTAAGTTATTATTGACTATAGTCAACCTGTTGTGCTATCAAATAGTAGGTCTTATTTATTCTTTCTATTTTTTTTTGTATCCATTAACCATTTTCCAACCCCTACTACCCTTCCAAGCTTCTGGTAACCAACCTTCTACTCTCTATGTTTATGAGTTCAATGTTTTGATTTTTAGATCCCAAAGTAAGTGAGAACATGTGATGTTTGTCTTTCTGTGTCTGGTTTATTTCACTTAACATAAATCCTTCCATTTCCATCCATGTTGTTGCAAATGACAGAATATAATTCCTTTTTATGGCTGAATAGTACTCCATTGTGTATAAGTACCACATTTTCTTTGTCCATTCATCTATTGATGGACACTTACATTGCTCCAAATTTTGGCTATTGTGAACAGTGCTGCAACAAACATGAGAGTGCAGATATCTCTTCAACAGCCTGATTTCCTTTCTTTTGGATATATACCCAGTAGTGGGACTGCTGGATCATATGGTAGCTCAATTTTTAGTTTTTTGAGGAACCTCCAAACTGTTCCCCATAGTTGTGCTAATTTACATTCCCACCAACAGGGCATAAGGGTTCCCTTTTCTCCACATCCTTGCCAGCATTTGTTATTGCCTGCCTTTCTTTAGACTTTTTATATGTCAAATAAATCATCTGGGGCTCCCCACAGTCCCCCTCCATTGGCAAAGACGAGCAGGAATCCTCTTTGAAAGGTGTCTAAAATGTCTTTGGTTTGCTTTGCATGTTAAGAGTATTAATGGTCATCAGAAGGTAGACTTTCTTGTGGGAATGTCAGTAGTCAAGAATACCACCTAATGAATTGGACAAAATTTTCAAACCATAATAGATACTTGACAGTATTGTCGATTTGGTTTGCTCTGACTTGGTATGAGGACCTCAAGTTGTACATCATGGTGCTGACAGAATCTGGTTTTAAGCCTCTCAACTATAAGGCTCTCTTAACCAGATGTCCATAACTGCTACCCAAAAGAGCTAATGCTCTGAGAAATGTGGCCAAATCTAACTGCCTTGTCATCGCTACCATTCATATTCCCACTCTACCCTAAACAAGCTTGCAAATCTGCCATGGCCAGCCGACTGTGGTAGCTCACACCTATAATCTTAGCATTTTGGGAGGCCAACCTAGGAAGACCGCCTAAGTCCAGGAGTTCAAGACCAGCCTGGGCAACATTGTGAGACCCCATCTCTTAAATTTTTTTAAAAATTAACCGGGCCTGGTAGCATATGCCTGTGGTCCCAGCTACTTGGGAGGCTGAGGCAGAAGGTTCACTTGAGCCTGGGAGGTCAAGGCTATAGTGAGTCTTAATCACACACACTACTGCAATCCAGCCTGGGCAACAGAATGAGACATTATCAAAAAAAAAAAAAAAAAAAAGAAAGAAAGAAAGAAAGAGAGAGAAAGAAAGAAAGAGAAAAAAAAATTTGCCATGGCCATTCATACTCCTTAGACTGGTACTCATGGCCCTTCATAACCTGGCCCCCCCCAATCTTCCTATTCAGTCTAATCTCTAATTTCTCCTCCTTCCCTGGACTTTATTCGGTAGCAGCATTGATAGAACAGCAGAAGGAACAAACAATCTCCAAATCACAGTGATCTAAGCAATAAACTTTTCCAGCTCACATTAGAGTCCTCTGGGTCTCTATTCCACACAGTCATTCAGGGGCCCTGGCTCCATCCAATTTTTGGTTCTATCATCTTCGTCTTTGGAGTTCTCTTCATTAGGCCAAAGGATGGGGAAATACAGTGTGGGAGATTGCACACATTTCACTGGCCAGAACTTAGTCACGTGGTCCTGCCAAACTACGAGAGGGAATGGGAAGTATAGTCTAACCATATATCTAAGAGGAAAACGGAAAGGGGATTGGTGAGCACACACATTGTCCCTGCCACACACACTAAGTAGTTTGACATCTCCAAACAGCTTTATTTCATGTCCCTCTATGAGGAATTATAAGCATTCACCTCTGGCCTCATCCCTATATTCCCAACTCTTCCAACCCAGGTCAATGCCATTGTCAGCATGAGAACTTCTATTCTTTTTTCTTTAGAAGCTCACCACATCCTCCTACACCTGAGCAGCCTGTTGCCTCCTCCTCTACCCTTTCCCCCGTCACTCACGCCATCACCAACTCTCACCACGGTACACGACAGCGCTCTCTTGACGCTTCTGCCTCCCTGACTAGACTGAGAACTCTAAGAGTAGGCTTATTCCTGCGTGTGCCTCCAGCCTCTAGCACTGTGCCCAAGATATGTTTGGCATTCTGAAAATATAGCTGAATTATGGAAAGAGAGTGAAAGACATGGGTTATCAACAATACATGACATGGAGTCCATGATGATGGAAGCCTCGTCTGGATCCTCTATTCTGAGACCTTTTTAGAATAACCTCAAGAGACTGTCATTTAATGGAGACCTCTGAAAAAGTGTCTTGAAAAAGAAGTAGGGGCCAGGAGTGGTGGCTCACACCTGTAATCCCAGCACTTTGGGAGGCAGAACAGGGCAGATCACAAAGTCAGGAGATCAAGACCATCCTGGCCAACATGGTGAAACCCCGTCTCTATTAAAAATACAAGAATTAGCTGGGCGTGGTGGTGTGCACCTATAGTCCCAGCTACTCGGGAGGCTGAGGCAGGAGAATTGCTTGAACCCAGGAGGCAGAGACTGCAGTGAGCCGAGATCGCACCACTGCACTCCAGCCTGGACAACAGAGTAAGATTCCATCAATAAAAAAAAAGAAGGAGGAGGAGGAGAAGGAGAAAGAGAAGGAGAAGGAGGAGAAGGAGGAGGAGGAAGGGGAGTGAAGAGGAGGGGGGGAAGAGGAGGAGGAGGAGGAAGAGAAGGAGAAAGAGGGAGAGGGAGAAGGAGAAGAAGAAGAAAAAGCCCACCATCACAAGTTTTTGGGAGAAGTGTCCTGTCAACGGCCACTGGCTGGTGTGCTTCAAGGACAATCTTGTGCAAATGGCTGAAGGACCCCGAGAGTCTGGGGAGGTCAACAGCACCTAATGGGAAGAGATAAAGCACTAATTGGCAGGGGATGAGAGGAGCTAAGTGCTTGAGACATGCAAAGTCACACCCTCAGGGGAAGAAGACGGATGTGGCATGGCACTCCCTGAAACAGAAGCATGAGTATGAATCTCAGTCCACAAACTCAGATGGGAGTGAACGAGCATAGTAACTTTACACAAATCAACTTAACTTTGATCCTGAGCTCTTTCCTACCAAAATAGAAGAAATTCAATCCTACTTTGGATCTCTCCTTCTCCCAAGGTTGCGTCAGTGACTCCAGGGTGTCACCTAGTATTAAGGTGTTCAGGAAGGCTCTCTATGGTTATAAGTGGTTTGTCCAAAGCAATTTCTCCTCTGACCACCCCGACCCCTGCCACTGTCCAGTCCACATGACCCCTTTGAGCCTGACACCCTGATATGTGACACAAGCTTCTCTGGATAGGGGAGCTCCACATGTGTTGCCAGCCTCCTGTGTGAACCAAGTAGCTTTTCCCCCTAGGGTCTTACCATATCCCAGGGTGCAGGTCTTGCCATCAGGATGCAGGTCCCTTTGCTCAAAGAGTCCCTAGAGGCCAGGAGCGGTGGCTCACACCTGTTATCCTAGTCCTTTGGGAGGGCAAGGTGGGCGGATCACCTGTGGTCAGGAGTTCGAGACCAGCCTGGCCAACATGGTGAAACCCTGTCTCTACTAAAAATACAAAAATAAGTCGGGTATGGTGGCGCATGCCTGTAATCCCAGCTACTTGGGAGACTGAGGAAGGAGAATCACTTGAACCCAGGAGGCAGAGGTTGCAGTAATCACAAGATTGTACCACTGCACTCCAGCCTGGGTGACAGAGTGAGACTCTGTCTCAAAAAATAAATAAATAAAAATAAAAGAAAAAGAGTTCCTAGAGACATCCTTCTCTCCCCATATCCTAAGTGAATCTCTCTTTCATTTGAGGGATGCTTCTTCTCTCAAACCCTGTATTCCTTGGCTGTACCAGAGGACTGCCTGCAACTGTCAGGGTAAGCCTTTTTTTCCAGCAGTGTGTTCACCTGCCTCTGGCTTAAAAAAATCAAGCTGAATTAATTGCCAAAATTTTAGACCAGGACATTTCACACAGACATCTTTGGAAAGTTATAAGATCTGGTATCGCTGGTACCTTCAGATACAGTATGCACACATCAGTTTGCCCCAACTCCTCCACGATTATTTATTATGTTTGTACCCAGCCTGTTTCCTCTGTGTTTTGCTGACATTTTACCTACCTGAACCCTGCAGGACTTTGGTCTTTCAGCACTTAGCTTAGGCCACAAACCTCCAATCACAAGCCTCCTACTATAAACTTCTGAGCTAAGGAAGCACAGACCTTCTGCATACTTGAATGGAGGAAAATGAAAGATAAAGGAAAAGAGAAAAATCCAGGCAGATAAAAACAAATGTTTTCAATTACCTTGCCTGAGAAGCATTAACTAGGATCCAGTGAGGGGCACAAAAACATGCCTCAGGGATTCTCACATCTGTCATCTCACATCTCTCACCCATGCTTTGAGTGAGAACGTCATTCATAGGCCATTCCCCCTTAGAATCCTTAAATCCCCCTTAGAGCTGGATCTCTAACGACAACTGAGCCACTAAATGTAATGAGCTCATTGGTAGTGAAGCCCATGGGTAGTAGAAAGACTTTACAGGGTGTTGTCATGGGGTTCTTGGTGTCTATGAAGTGCTAGGATAGGGACTGCACACAATCGGTACCCAATCAACAGGAGCTATTACTACTTTAAAAGTCAGAATAGCAGGCCGGGTGCGGTGGCTCACACCTGTAATCCCAGCACTTTGGGAGGCCGAGATGGGTAGATCACCTGAGGTCAGGAGTTCGAGACCAGCCTGGCCAACATGGTGAAACCCTGTCTCCAATAAAAATACAAAAATTAGCTGGGTGTGGTGGCATGCACCTGTAGTCCCAGCTACTTGGGAGGCTGAAGTATGAGAATTGCTTGAACCCAGAAGGCAGGGGCTGTAGTGAGCCAAGATCATGCTACTGCACTCCAGCCTGGACAACAGAGAAAGACCCTATCTCAAAAAAAATAAATAAAAATAAAAACGCCCATAGCCTCCTTTAATTCTCACTATAACCCTGAGTAAGCAGCAGAGATATCCTTGGGTTAGAGATGGAGAAACAAGCCTCAGGAGACAAAGTTAACTTGTCCGAGGTTCCAAAGTTTGAGAGAAGCAGAGAGAAGATTTGGGTCAGATAGTGAAGTTGGAACTCTGTACTGTATCAGAAAGAACCAGTGACCACAGTGGGCTTGGGGTTCCCAGATATTCTAAATGGGGGTTGGCACCAGCCAGGGAGCCCTTGGCACCCTGCAAAGAGAGCATTCAATACAGGAGAGGCAGCCACAAGCAGCCTGGAGTGACCGGTGAAGAGCACAGACTACAGCTGGAGGGCTGAGGTTTAACTCTTCGTTCTGCCTGTTTCTGCCTGTGTGACATGGGGCAAGTTCTTTAACGTCCCTGTGCCTCAGTTTCCCTACCTGTGAAATGGGGATAGTAACAGTATCACCTTCATAGAGTTATCATTTTTTTTTTTGAGATGGAGTCTCACACTGTCACCCGGGATGGAGTGCAGTGGCGCAATCTCAGCTCACAGCAACCTCCACCTCCTGGGTTCAAGCGATTCTCCTGCCTCAGCCTCCCAAGTAGCTTGGATTACAGGTTCCCACCACCATACCTGGCTAATTTTTTGTATTTTTAGTAGAGATGGGATTTCACCATGTTGCCAAGACTGGTCTCAAACTCCTGACCTTATGATCTGCCTCCTCCCAACCTCAGCCTCCCAAAGTGCTGGGATTACAGGTGTGAGCCACCACACCCAGCTAGAGTTATCATTTTGAAGGAGTTGGTGTTTGCAAAGCACTAAGTACAGTGCCTGGTACATAGTAAGTTCTGTATGATTGTTAAATATGTGACCTTGTGTCACATCATCTGGCAAGCCCACACCTTCACACCTGGGTCATGTTGCTCTGTGCCATTATGATGCTCAACTCCAGGTATCAGGCCTGGTGCTCTGTCAGCTTTGGGACACAGGCTGTCTCTGGAGCGTTTCCCTCTGCAAAGCCCCTGTGTCCAGGACTCCTCTTCACCATGCTCCTCCCATTCTTCTCTAAAGCATGGACCCCACTGAGGGCAGGCCCAAAGCTGGGGCTGACTCTTGTTATTAATTCTAATGCAGCATTCAGTTCCAATTACCCCTTTTTGCGACTTGAGTGGAGCAGGACTCACTTAGCAAACAAGAAGCACAGGAAATGTTTTTGTTTTTTGTTTGTTTGTTTTTAGAGACAGAGTCTCGCTCTGTCACCCAGGCTGGAGTACAGTGGCACGATCTTGGCTCACCACAACCTCTGCCTCTTGGGTTAAAGCGATTCTCCTGCCTCAGCCTCCCGAGTAGCTGGGACTATAGGCGTGCAATACCATGCCTGGCTAATTTTTGTATTTTTAGTAGAGACGGGGTTTCACTATGTTGGCCAGGCTGGTCTCGAACTCCTGACCTTGCGATCCGCCTGCCTCGGCCTCCCAAAGTGCTGGGATTACAAGCGTGAGCCACTGCGCCCAGCCAGAGGTGTTTTTTGACATATGGGAGATTCCGCAGCTGGAGAGACATTGCGAGAGGCTAGTTAGGAGGCAGGGGAGAAGGTGCAGGATTTCTTAGGCTGACATGGGGCATCCACGCAAGCATCAGGGGGATGTGAGAATGGACTTACAGCACAAGAAGTGCAGCGGGGAACAGCACGGCGCTGGTGGGCATGATGGGGAGCACAGTCTTCTGAAAGAAGACAAAACTGCCATGGGAACAAAAGACTCTTTGCAGAGGTGTCAAAGCCTGAAAGACATAGGCAGGTGTCTGACTTCCAAGCCAGGGTAGACCCAGGAGCTGGCAACCATAGGGACTATGGGGATAGAGGGCACTCTCTGCCTGTCCCCAGCCTTCCCATCTACTCTGGTGCACTAGTGGTTTAGACACTTAGAGCAAGGTTTTGAACATCAAGTTCACATAGACAATACTTAAGACGCAGAGCCTTCATGCGCTAGCTCTGTGACCCTAAGCAGGTAGTCTCTGGCCTTAAAGAATTGCTGTGAAGGTTCAGTCAATTCATCTAAGTTAAGCTCTTGGCAGCACTGATCAAGTTAAACATAAACTATTATAGTTATTGCTCTGGTGAGGGCCTCAGATGTGGGGCTTATCTTCTGATTTCCTTACCTCAGCCAGCTGAGCTTCCTGCCTCTGGTTTTCTCTACTTCCAGTGGTTTCTCTGGGCGGTAGACTCGCTGCCCTCTCTAACCTGGTCACAGGGCTCCTCTGCCTACAGTCTTAGAGTGGCTTCTGGAAGATACTGCATCTTGGCAAGCCCTTGTGTCTACTGCTGTCTCCGCAGGGAGCACCAGACTTCCTGATGAACCCCAACTCATCCTTCTGAGCCAGTTCTAAGTTCTCTGCCTCCTCCAAACCTTCAGTGATGGCTCTTTGTGATGTACTAGAATCAGCCAGTACCTGCCAGCCCAGCACATACCTTGATTAATGCATTGATCACACTCCCCTACCATTATCCCCTTCCAGTTTGGTTCTTACTACATCATTATCTCCTTTCAGACAGTATATTATGACCTTTATGCACTGGGCCTTCACATCTCCAGCACTGGGCCCTTTCATCTCCAGCGCTGGGCCCTTTCATCTCCAGCACTGGGCCTTTACATCTCCAGCGCTGGACCTTTACTTGTCCAGCACTGGGCCTTTACATCTCCAGTGCTGGGCCCTTACATCTCCAGAGCTGGGCCCTTTCATCTCCAGCGCTGGGCCCTTTCATCTCCAGCGCCGGGCCCTTAACATCTCCAGCGCCGGGCCCTTTCATCTCCAGCGCCGGGCCCTTACATCTCCAGCGCCGGGCCCTTAACATCTCCAGCGCCGGGCTCTTTCATCTCCAGCGCCGGGCCCTTACATCTCCAGCGCCGGGCCCTTACATCTCCAGCGCCGGGCCCTTTCATCTCCAGCGCCGGGCCCTTTCATCTCCAGCGCCGGGCCCTTAACATCTCCAGCGCCGGGCCCTTTCATCTCCAGCGCCGGGCCCTTAACATCTCCAGCGCCGGGCCCTTAACATCTCCAGCGCCGGGCCCTTAACATCTCCAGCGCCGGGCCCTTAACATCTCCAGCGCCGGGCCCTTTCATCTCCAGCGCCGGGCCTTTACATCTCCAGCGCCGGGCCTTTACATCTCCAGAGCTGGGCCTTTACATCTCCAGGGCTGGGCCCTTAAATCTCCAGCACTGGGCCTTTATATCTCCAGCGCTGGGCCCTTCACAACTCCAGCGCTGGGCCCTTCACATCTCCAGCGCTGGGCCCTTCACGTCTCCAGCGCTGGGTCCTTCACATCTCCAGCACTGGGCCTTCACATCTCCAGGGCTGGGCCCTTAAATCTCCAGCACTGGGCCTTTATATCTCCAGCAGCAATATAAAGCCGAGGACCCAGCAAGTGTTCAGTGAGTATTAGTTCAATGAATGCACGAGTGAAGGAATTACTAAATGAATGAATGAGTGAATGGCTTACTACTTGGCTTCTCCCTAAATTCAGCCACCTTTCCGGCTCCACAAGGATTGCCAGTTTTTCGTGTAGCCGAGACACAGGGCTTGACTTTTGGGGGTCTTGGCTGCACCTTACCCTAAAGACTATGGAACTCTCATCATTTCTTAGTGATGCTGGTGAATTTCCATTGTTTTTGTCCCTAAAAAAATAATCTATAAAAGAGAAGTGGTCAATAAGATTGTATTTGGGACTATGGTATCCAATTTCTTTGCAGTTAGAGAGCAGAATGAGTTGTTTTTCAAAAGTCGGAAATGGCCTTTAGACATTAGAAGAAGGTCCCCCAAGGAGTGACTTTCCTGTTCCCAAAGGCACTTGCCCCCAACAGGGCTGCATGATGCCGTCTGTTTGTGGCCCAAAGCTGCAGCTGCAAACCTTTGATTGTCTCTCCAAACAGCTGCCTGACCATCCGGAGAGAAGGCAAAGCCAAGGCTTTGTACTTTGTGTCATGTGGATGAGAGCCTGTGTCCCCCCTGGCCTGGCTGGGCAGGTCATCTGTCTCCAGCATGGAGTGGTGTTTGGTGTGGGAATACAAGCAGCAGAAGCCAAAACAAAAGAAATTATCACCTACTCGGTGCTGAGGCCCTCACCATGTGCTGGTCACTTTATATTTGTGATCATACTTTACCTTCTCAAGTAGAAGGGGTATCTGATAAGATAGAGGGTCAAATCTCCATGTGTCAGATGAGAAAATTACAGCTCTTTAAGGAAGTTGCCTGAAGCCTCACAAGTAAATAATGAGCACACGATTTGAACCCACACCACTCTAGCTCTGAATCCTACATTCTTGGTTCTTTCCTTGCAGCCTCTGGAGAATTTGATGAATTCTATGCATCTGAAAGGCCTCCGATGCTTAAGACCTTTTTTTTCTTTTCAAGTCTCGAACATTTATTGAACACGTATATGTGCCAAGCGCTATTCTCAAACTGCCCCATGAGGAATGGACCACAGAGCTCCATTTTACAGGTGAGAAAACTTACTAGCCAGATGAAAGAAGATGCTTTCCTGGAAAAATGACCTCTGCTAGGCTGGAGCACAAGCAAATCTCTGACCCCAAGGAAGGAGAAAGAGCAAAGACAGAGCTAGTTCACAACACACATGTTTTTGTCTCCTTCTCACCAGCTTGTCTTATCTGCCCACACTGCGGCAGTCAGGTCTGGAGACTGCAGAACACTGGAGAAGGCTTTTTGTCTGCCTTCTCCAAATCCTTCCCCCATGACTAATAATTCTTGAGGCACCCCAAGAAGGTAAATATTGTTCTCCCATTTTTCCAGATGGGGAAACTGAGATGGGAGGATGAGCCTGAGACCACACAGGAAGCAAAGCCTACAGCTTCCAAGATGAAGCATGGAATTCCAGACTGAGGGGCTTTACAAGTTCATCTCTCTCCCTACATCCAACTCAGTCTGCTCCTACAACAGATCCCACTGCCAGAGAGACAGTAAACAGGCACTTTTACTTACCACAAAGAGAGGCATGGACCTTACTTTGGTGAAGCAACTGGGGGCTCTTCGTAGACAGTTTGGATTATAATCTTTTTTTTTTTGCTTTTGTTTTTGTTTTCGTTTTTGAGACGGAGTCTTGCTCTGTCACCCAGGCTGGAGTGCAGTGGCTTGATCTCAGCTCACTGCAACCTCTGCCTCCTGAGTTCAAGCGATTCTCCTGCCTCAGCCTCCCGAGTAGCTGGGATTAGAGGTGTCTGCCACCATGCCTGGCTAAATTTTTATTATTTTATTTTATTTTATTTTATTTTGAGACGGAGTCTCCCTCTGTTGCCAGGCTGGAGTGCAGTGGCACCATCTCAGCTCACTGCAACCTCTGTCTCCCGGGTTCAAACGATTCTCCTGCCTCAGCCTCCAGAGTAGCTGGGACTACAAGCACACACCGCCATGCCCAGTTAATTTTTGTATTTTTAGTAGAGACAGAGTTTCACCTGTTGGCCAGGATGGTCTCGATCTCTTGACCTCGTGATCCACCCACCTCAGCCTCCCAGAGTAATTTTGTATTTTTAGTAGAGTTGAGGTTTGGCCATGTTGGCCAGGCTGGTCTCAAACTCCTGACCTCAGGTGATTCACCCACCTCAGCCTCCCAAAGTGCTGGGATTACAGGCGTGAGCCACCGCACACGGCCTGGATTGTAATCTGTAGAGTTGTGTGAGGTAGGATTGAGGTTGAGAGTAAGGATGCGCAGGAAGATTGCAGAGCTGAGGCCGTGAGCAGCTCCTTATTCTCCATCCAAGGGGAGACTATAGACCTTCATACGTGAAGGGCTTCTTTGACAAAAGTAAATTTTCAAAATCCAAACCTCACCAAGCAACTCCCATTTAAAAAATCCTGTAGGCTTGGGCGCAGTGGCTCACGCCTGTAATCCCAGCACTTTGGGAGGCCGAGGCGGGAGGATCACCTGATGTCAGGAGTTCAAGACTAGCCTGCCAACATGGCAAAACCCCATCTCTACTAAAAATACAAAAATTAGCTGGGCGTAGTGGCAGGCACCTGTAATCCCAACTACTCAGGAGGCTGAGGCAGAAGAATTGCTTGAAATGGGAGGTGGAGGTTGCAGTGAGCTGAGATCACGCCATTGCTCTCCAGTCTGGGCAACAAGAGCAAAACGTCATCTCAAAAAAAAAAAAAAAAAAAAAAAAAAAAGAAAGGAAATCCTGTAGGGCTGCAGCTCACTCCAGTTACCCACAGGATTATGCCTGAGCAATGCAACCAGACCCCCCAGTCTCCCTTGCCAACTGCCTCAGCCTCCCTCCCTCTACTCCTCCACCAGAACACTGCCTTCAATCAGGACAAATGGCTCGCCCACCTTGACACCCTCCAGGCTGTGAAGTGACCTGGTATCTTTGCTGATGCTATTCTCATCACGGAATTCATAGCCTCCCTTCTCCAACTGGAGGATGTGTCATCAAGGCTCAAGACTGACGCTTGAACAGCCCCTCATCCCATGACACCAACCTAATGCACCATCCGACCGCCATCATTACAACCCAACAGAATCCACATCCATCACTCTTGATGCTTTTCACACACACAGGGTCTCTCCACTGTGGCATTTAACACTGTAATTGTTACTTCATTGGCCAATCTCCCTAGACTGTAAGTCCTTAGAGGCAGAGTGACTAGATCCAGTCAGATTCTAGATGTCTTTCACCAGCACAAGGTCCAGCACTGGCTCCGCTTAGTGAGCCTGCTAAATGGTTGGGCAAATGGTCCTTTTCTCATGGGTAAACAGAGATCAAGGATACTTCCCTCTCTGTATGATGCCCACTTTAAGGATCTCTCTGTCCTATTTCTTACAACTGTATATGAATCTACAATTATCTCAAAAATTTTAATAAATTTAATCTAACATTAAGTTAATTTAAATGTAATTAATGAAAGGAGTCCTGTACATTGGTGCCCGCTCTCCTGTGAAGCCCTGATATATTTCTGTTGCAGGAAAAAGAGATCCCCACACCCCACATCATGCCCTGACTGCTTATCCCCCAACTAAAACCTGAGACCCCTGAATCTGGACAAAGCATTCTCCTTGGAAGTGCTGACAGCTTGCATCGAGCTTGTATTTACCAGTTTTCATTTTACTTGCATTTTACCCAGTTTGATACTGATCCTGGGGGCCACTGTGTGTCCCGTGGTCAGGGCCAATCAGAAAGGCTGGTGGGTTCCTCCCTCCAGTTCTACCTGCTTCCACTTCTTCTCTTTCCCCGCAGCCTGTGAGTGAGATTTCAGCATGCCTTGTGGTTAATGTCTCAAAGGTTTCCTGAACACTGACTGTGAGTCATGCTATCTGACAACCACTAGGTGTTCAAAGAATAATAAGACACATTTCTCTCCCATGAGGGTCATACAGACTCATGTGGAAGAGGAAGGAGAGAGCAGGTGACTCCAGCAAATGGATATGGATCCATTCGTATTAGATTGGTGCAAAAGTAAGTGCAGTTTTTGCCATTCATTTGGCAAAAACCACAATTACTTTTGCACCAATTTATATATTTTACAAGATGCTATGAGAGGACAAGAGAAGGCAGGAGGACCTAAACCTGACTAAAGATGTCAGGGAAGCAAGTCTTAGAGCTGAGACTTGGAAGATATTCAAGGACTAGGCAAGGAGACAAAGTGAGGAAGGGCTTTTTAAGGAAAAGGATCAAAAGGGCAAAGACCTGGGTCAGCACGGCCATTTCTGGAACTCCCAGGATGCCGGTACAACTGGAGCATGAATTGTAAGAAATAACAGTTAAGAGAAAACATCGAGACAAAGGCAGGCAAGGGCCAGATCATGGACAACTGGGAGATGCCTTTATCAGGAGTTTGGATTTCAAACTTGAAAGTGAATGAGGAGAAGAAATTAATGGTGTAGCTCTTAGATTAAAAAAAAAAAAAACAAACATTATCTGGAGATGTTGGTAAATCAGTCTACATGATCCCATAAACAGCTGAATTTGACCTGAGTGCTGATTAACATAAGTCACATGATTTCTTATACTCTCCATACGTTGCTGGGAGGATATTGCTTAATAGAATTGCTCTTCTGGATTGCTGGGGCTTAAACATGTAGGAGACACAGGTGAATTGCTGTAGCTCCTTAGCTATAAACTCTCCAAATGGAGTAATGGGGTGACTCATGGTAAAAGCATTTCTGCCATGGAGCAGTCTCTTGATATTGCCCTCATCGCCAAGAAAAAGCTATGTCCTCATGGCACTCGGCCAGTATATCCGGGCATCTGTTCAGCAGATGCTCTTCCCTCACACGGGATGCAATTGGCTTCATTACTTCCTGGATCACTCTCTATTATGGGAACTGCGTGTAGGGGAAAGGACACACCTGTGTTCACATCCCAGGCCTACCACTTACCAACTGTTTGACCAATGGCAAGGAACTCCTGAGCCTCCGTTTCCCCATTTCTAACATGGGAATAAGCACCCTTACCTCAGAGTGTTGTTAAATGACATAATACATGGGAAGTGCCTAGCTAATTAGAGATTCTCAAACAGAGAGAGATGGGTGTTATTAGTGTTGGGGGCCAAGTGTTGTTTTCAGCTCAGATCTTCAAAGAGGTGGAGAGGGAAGTGCTGAGGATCTCAGAGTCAAGATCTCTCCTAACTGTGTGGCTATACATCATCTCAGGGCATGCAGTGCTGGGCCAAGGAGAAGCTGGCAAGTGCCTGATCTTCCTGGCATGAGCACCGCCTTCCTCTGACTGTTTGGCTCACCATTCATGGGGATGACTGCCCATGCCCAGGAGGACACTTTCATTGCTGCCAAGGACCTTGCCAAAGGACCTGAGTTTGAAAGACTGAAGGGCCATCCTGGGAAGACAATATTTGCACAAATCCGTTTAGAAGTCCAATATTTCAATCCAGCCATTTCAGTGAGGGACAGAAGGAACTATCTCCCAAATGCATGGCAAATAAACTCAACCCAGGAGGAAAAGCAGAGAAAGAAAATTAATGCATATCAAGTTACCTAAGAAAATTATTACATATCAATTACCATTTGCTTAGAATCTACTTTATGCCAAGTATTTCCACAGTATTTCATTGATTCATCATAGAAGCTCTTTGAGGTAGGTCATATTTCACAATTTTCATAGGCATGAAAACTGAGTCAATATACTCCTATACTTGTATATTTCCTATACAAGTTATTAAGAAAATATGTCCCATATCCCACAGCTATGATGCAATATAATTGCCTTAGGATTCTAAGAAGGCTCCATCGTAGCCCTAAATTAATTTTAAATCCTGATGTCAGGGGATGTTAAATACTTTACACAGGAAATATAGTGGAGCTACAAAGGTATTCTCAACAGACAGTGATTATTCCTGCCAATCAGGACTCAGATGCTCTTTCTAGACTTACAACAAAGAATGGCCACCCTGAAGCAGGACATATTTTTCCAGCATGAGTGTAGCCCAGTATGTTTGATTAGAAAAAGGCAGCTCCCACCTTCATTGTCATTGCAAGCAGTGGACACAGGCAGCACTTTAGAAGGCACATTAGAGGCAAAATTCAGCATCCACAGAAATCAAGTGATAAAGATGAAGCATTTTCAGCATCTCCTTTGAGTAAGTTCCTAAGAAAAGACTACGTATTGTCTATGATGAGTGATAGACTCTGAAGCAAGAAGTATGTGCCTTGGTATCCACTGCCTATGATAAGATGGCATGGAGCATAGCAGAGAACTCCTGGGAGAAGAGTCGCAGTGGGATCAGAGCTGACTCCCACACTGGGTAAGCTCCAGCTACCGAAGGGCAGAGGAGAGAGATTCTAACATCAGTGCCTAATAGGTAGTCCTTGTAATTCCTTGACTCTATATTCATGTAGAAACTCTATCATCCTCCTTAATATCATCCTCGTTATTATCATTATCATTACAGAGTATGGACTCAGTCTCCCAATCATTATCAACAAATCCTCCAGTCACCTTCCTAAAGTCCTAAGTCAAAGAACTACTCTAGATACTAGTATAAAAGATTCCCAAGCTGGGCGCAGTGGCTCACACCTGAAATCCCAACACTTTGGGAGGCTGAGGTAGACGGATCACCTGAGGTCAGGAGTTCCAGATCAGCCTGGCCAATATGGTGAAACCCCAGCTCTACTAAAAAAATACAAAAATTAGCCGCGCATGGTGGTGCATGCCTGTAATCCCAGCTACTTGGGAGGCTGAGGCAGGAGACTTGCTTGAACCCGGGAGGCGGAGGTTGCAGTGAGCTGAGATCGTGCCATTACACTCCAGCCTGGGCAACAGAGCAAGACTCCCTCTCAAAAAAAAAAAAAAAAAAAAAAAAGATTCCAAGATTCCCAGCTTGGAAAGACTCTACCTGACTATGAAAATCAAGATTTTGGTGCCCTGTGCAAATAAAACCAGATACACAATTCTCCCAGAGACATGCTTTTTTGTCTCTGGCTATGTTGCATGTTACTCCAGGATTGTGCTGGCCTTTTCGAGTTGGGGCAGACATGGACCAGGTGCACTGCTCAGATCTCTCTTAGAGAAAGAACTTGCCATTGTGCTGCATGAGATAAGGTAGCTGATAGTGTCTTGCCATAACACCTTCAGGATGTACTCAGCTTTCAAGCCAGGACCACCTTCCTCCTGAGCATCCTCTAGCCAATGGCTAGTCCTCATGCCTGGCCATTTCTGCCTAATATGGGACTCCTTTAGCAGGCAGTCATTGTTCTGGAGCTCTCATTTGGGTTGGCAGAGACTTTGGGAGACCTGAATTGAGGTCTGAGGTTCTCCTTGTCATGGTCTGAAGGCTTTCCTTGCCCAATTCTGCTTCTCGTGCTTGTTATTTAACGCAAGTGACATTGCTCTCCCCAATAAACTGCTTATATTTCTAACTTCCTCTCATAAGCTGCTTCTCAGAGAACCCAATTGACAAACATATCTTATCTTAGTCTGACAGAAGAGAAGAACTCAAAAACTTTCTTTGCCTCTTTGGAGATTTGTCTGGGCAAAGGAGTGATCTGTGACTCCTGAGGCTTTTGAGAATGAGCTGCTACCATCATGAAAAGCATGCATATCTGTACATGAACTTCTTTGGTAATCTGGTGATACCTACAGACACCTTCTCAGATTTGGTCAGACCAAAGCCAGCAGGATTGGATTGAAGTTTGCCCAGTACCTGGAGTCATGCTCAAAGGACTTGTTTTTGTTTTTTGTGTGTGTGTGTGTTTTGTTGTTGTTGTTGTTTGAGACGGAGTCTCACTCTGTCGCCTACGCTGGAGTGCAGTGGCGTGATCTCGGCTCACTGCAAGCTCCGCCTCCAGGGTTCACGCCATTCTCCTGCCTCAGCCTCCTGAGTAGCTGGGACTACAGGTGCCCGCCACCATGCCAGCTAATTTTTTGTATTTTTTGTATTTTTTTTTTAGTAGAGATGAAGTTTCACCGTGTTAGCCAGGATGGTCTCGATCTCCTGACCTCATGATCCTCCCGCCTTGGCCTCCCAAAGTGCTAGTATCACAGGCGTGAGCCACTGCGCCCGGCCAAGGACTTGCAATCAATAGGATTGCATTCGGACAACAACCAGAGGGACTAAACACTTTGACATAGGAGTGGTGGCCTAAGTCACCAGTGGCATTTAGTCTGATAAAGAGAAATTTTGGAAGGAAAAGGACACAGAGATAAGGCTACTATGTAGAACAGGGGTTGGCAAAGATATCCTGTAAAGGATGATACAGTAAATATTTTTGGCTTTGTGGACAGATGACTCATCTGGTCTCTGTCACAGCCGTACACTCTGCCATTGTACACAAAAGCAGCCATAGAGGATACAGAGATGAATGGGTGTGGCTATGTTCCAATAAAACTTCATTTGCAAAAACTGGTAGGTGGTCAGATTTGACCAGTCGGCCATAGTTTGTTGACCTCTGATGCAGAAAAAGGAAAGTTGGAGGAAAACATTTACTTAGAATCTACTTTATCCCAAGCATTTACACAGTATTTCATTGATTCTTCATAGAAGCTCTTTGAGGTAGGTCATATTTCACAATTTTCATAGGCATGAAAACTGAGTCCATATACTCCTATACTTGTATACTTCCTATACAAGTTATTAAGAAAATATGCCCCAAATCCCACAGCTATGATGCAATAGCCTTAGGATTCTAAGAACTCTCTATCATAGTACTCCCTGGAGAACAGCGGGGGTAAAATCTACATCTGGCATGATTCACCACCCTAGTGATAACACATAGTACATCCGTAAGGGTCACCAAGTTCCGGACGCATCCTGAGAAATGTGAAGACTGTGATTCTAGCAACGAGGAGGAGACCTGGGTCACTGGGTTGAAAGATGTGATGAGGCAACATGTGATGCCCATTCTTGATGGAAACAAACCAGCAAAGGGTTTTTCTCATTGTTTTAAGTGCTTTTAATGAATTGATTCATTAACCACAGAGATATTTTCCACAGCACCACTTACTGCCGAACTTTCTGCCAAGAACAAGGCCAAAGGCAAAGATCTCCGGACAGCTGCAGCATCAGGGAAGATTGATGCAGTTATATCATCCCCCCCACC
The DNA here is from genome assembly GCF_000001405.40 of Homo sapiens. Lineage (NCBI taxonomy): Eukaryota > Metazoa > Chordata > Mammalia > Primates > Hominidae > Homo > Homo sapiens. The sequence goes on along the minus strand of NC_000009.12, from coordinate 107,707,346 downwards.
CCACCCAGGCAGAAGAACTGCTTCTCCCCCTCCCCTCTTCCCATCCCATTAACTTGAAATATATCCCTTGAAGGCTTCCCCATATTAAACTATCCAGCCAAACACCAGATAATGACTCCCTTCTCCACAGCCTGTCCACACTGCCATTATCACATCTTTTTCTCCGAAAGACCATCCCGACATTATTTATCACTGTACCCAGTACTCAGAGAATGCCTAATACACAGACTCACTCCATAGTGAGTTAAACTTCATTTAAATGTGCCTCATCCAAATGCATTCATCTGTGTTTCTTATTTAACCCCCATGGCAATCACTGAGCAAATTATCATCTCTTATTTTATAGATGAAAGAAACCAAGGCTTCAAAAGGAAGCTACACTGAAGCAGAAAGAACTAGTGGTACCCCTGGAAGCCACACCTGCTCTTCCTATGCTCCAGGGCTCTGTGCCATTCCTGCAGCTTGAGCCAGGAGGAATGTTTGCAAGGATACCAGCCATTTTGCCAATGTGCACAGTTTTTCTTTAGTCATTACTGGAGGAGACTGACTTTCTTCTGTTTCAAATATCTAAAGATCACTTTCAGAGCAAACTGAGAGTAAACTAACTGGATGGGCTAATCCTACCTTGGATCCTCCTCTGCCATTTCATTGTTAGAATCAATTTCTGCAGGAGTATTTCACATATTTTACTGTCAGTGTCTCTGCAAACCCAACACATTATGGAGGAGAGAGCAAGCCTCTGAAGCCAGACACACCTGAGATTAAATCCTGGTTCTGCCATTTTATTAGCCATGTGACTTTAAAAGGTTACTTAATCTCTCAGGGCCTTGATTTCCTCATCTGTAAAATTGGGTAAGAATGCCTACTTTGTTTTATTTGTTGTTGTTGTTTTGTCCGGTTTGGGGTGTTTGTTTGTTTGATAGAGACAGTGTCTTACTCTTGCCCAGGCTGGAGCGCACTGGCATGAGTATAGCTCACTGCAAAGATGCCTACTTTGTAGGCTTGTGGAATTAAGAAAAATAATGAGCCAGAAAAAAATATTGTTTAAATGTTTATATAGATGAAATATATAGATGACATATGATAGATAGATATAGAGATGATAAATGACGATGCTGATAGATAGATAGATAGATAGATAGATAGATAGATAGATAGATAGATGGCAGCATGTAACATTAAACTTATTTTGTAGCCTAAGAAATTGAATATTAAGAGTTTAAGAAAAGGAAGAATAATAATACCCTCCATAAACACCTGGCCTCTTTCTGGATGGGAATCTGAGACTGAGATATTAAAGAACTTGCCCAAGGCCACACAGCTAAAAATTGGCCAAGTCTCATTGCACATCCTGCACTTGCACAGTGCCTGGCATGCACTAGGCATTCAGTGAGCCTTTGCAGACTAATTAACTGAATGCATAAGACATGGCCTAAAAACTAGGATGTAATTCAAGAGAACAATTGTCTGGCCTTCTTCAAGCAGTGCCATTCTTGTTGTCTCTTATTTGGATGAGAAATGTTACTTGAGTTTTAGCGACCACAGTGGGAATTATCTCCACAGCCCTGAGAGCTAACTCAACCGATTGTCTACAACCTTCTCACAAAAGAGAGGCCAGGGCTCAAGAACACAGGAATTTTAACTGCTCCAATGACTAATCTTTAACAAGTGAGGTCAAGTTTTCTTCTTGCCTTGAGAATATTACAGAAATACATTTCCACATGGTGATATTCAATGTACCATCAGTTCTCATTTGTTTTAATGCTATAAAATTAGGTTTGGTTCTACAAACACGGAGAACCATGATTGCATAATAGAAAGAGCACTGGCTACAGAGTTAGGAGACATGTGTTCAAATTTCAGTTTCTCTGCACTCTGGGTGTGAATCTCAGCCTCTTTGCCTCTGTTTCCTCATGTATAAAATGGAAATAGTAATACTTGCTCCTCTCCATTACAGTAGAGAGGATTAAGCAGGATCATGTATATTAAAGTGTCTGGCTTAATGATTCACACATAGTAATTGCCTAATAAATATTTATTCATTTAATGGAATGTTCGTGCAGTGTCTGGCATATTCGAGATGCACAATAGGATCCTATCCAATTAGTTCAAATCTAGCCTTATACCTGAGTCCATAGAAGGTCCTTAATAGGTGTTTTCATTCACTCAATGGAATACTTACCCAATGGCTGGCATGGTAGTTGTTTAATGGGCATTCATTCATTCAGTCAAATTCTAGTGCAGTGCATACAATTTAGTCAGCACTCAATAAATGATGGCTGAATCCAAGTAGGAAAAATGGAAATTTGTTCATTTAATGAGATTTTGCAATCCCATAAATATTATATGTTGCTGCCAGTGCTTTACAAAGTGAATCAACCATTCCTGAAATGTTCTCAGCTTATGCTTATTAACAAACCATTGTAAACTATTTTTCAAACATACAGCATTCCACGAATGTGTCATAATAACATTGGCAATGCTAAGCACCCCCATGACCCCAAATAAGTGGCAGGAGTATACAATATATGAATTAATTTAGAATACAGAAAGGGATCCATCTTTACAAAAAGATATGCTGCTGCACAATTCCTTCTATGTGTGTCCAAAGCTCATCTTGACAGTTGTTCTGGCAGTTCATTGAGAACTTGGGCCCCAAGGGAAAAACCCCATGTGTAGGCAGAAACTATCAGGAATTAGAATTACATATATGATAATGTGTGCATATATGAGTCTGTGCATATATATATAATATTTTTAAATAAAGGATCAGTCTTTGAAAGTTTTGCTTTATTTAACTACTTTACAACAATAAAGCAGTCCCCTGGGAAAAAGGGGGAGTGGCTTTTAATAGTATAATTTCTCCTTTCAGAAGCCACATTCTCTAAAAGGACCAGCAAGCAACAATTTTAAAGAAAGGAGAGGCCAGGCACGGTGGCTCACGCCTGTAATCCCAGCACTCTGGGGGGCTGAGGCGGGCAGATCACCTGAGGTCAGGAGTTCGAGACCAGCCTGGCCAAAGTGGTGAAACCAGTCTCTACTAAAAATATAAAAATTAGCCAGATGTGGTGGCCCATCCTGTATTCCCAGCTACCTGGGAGGCTGAGGCAGGAGAATCACTTGAACCCAGGAGGCAGAGGTTGCAGTGAGCCGAGATCGTGCCACTGCACTCCAGCCTGAGTGACAGAGACTCTGTCTCAAAAAAAATAAATAAATAAAAGAAAGGAGACAGATATCCTTTCAACAGGCACCTGGTTTCTCCAGTTAATTGGAAGTCCAAGAGGGAGAGCTTAACTCTGCATGATTCCTTTATATAGCAGTTGACATTGAAGTTTGGTCCTGGAGAGTGGATGTGAGTTCTCCAGGCATTCCAAGTCTAAAAGGGAAAGTGGAATGTAAGATATGGCAAGGAGATTTGTATGGCTGGACATCAGGTGTGATTGACCCAGGGATGAGTAGCAACAAATGATGCTGAAGAGGTGGACTAGCTGGGAGACCTTTAATGCCATGGAATGGAGTTTAGACCTTACTCAGTGACATGTGAGGAATGTTCTATTTATATCTCATTTACAACACTTATCTTCATCTGTCTTATTTTAGACCTAATTGCTTATTGTTTTTTTTTTACTCTACTTCCTTCTTCTAGTCTGAAAATTCCTTGAGACCAGGATGTGTGTGTTTGATGCTGTTATTAATATCTTTGCATCTAGTTAAGCACATTACCCATAATAAGTACAAAACAAGTTCTAATGTAAATAAAATGCGGTGACACCCTTCCAGAAGTTAATATCCATTGCCTATTATCTAATCCTCCTTTATATACAATCAGGGTAGCAGTTAGGAATCAGCGCAGGAAGCAGAAGCCCCTCTCAGTATTTTAAACAAAGGACATTTAATACAGAAAATGAGGTGTTTATATAATCCTTGGAAGGTTAGAGGACCCATTCTAGAGGACTGCTGGTTCAGTGCACACCTCCAAAGCCAAGATCAGAGATCAGAACACCGTTGCTGCTGCTGCTACTGACTTAAACAACTGATGCCTCTCACACTCAAAAAGCCAGTGACTGCATGACACGCCATAAATTTGTGTCAGTCCACAGACACGCATATGTTTATAACCTCACTTGCCAGCAGCAATGACAACAGGACCATGGCTTCCATCTCACTTCCAACTTCCAAGGCTCCTGGGAGTTCATCTCATTGGTGGAATCTAATTTGCTTCCAAAACTCCAACTGCAAGGAAATCTGAGAAATGTAGTTATTTGCCTTGCAGGCTCTGTGGTAAAGAAAGGACCATACAAGCTGGTGGCAAAAGATGCCTGGTTCTAATCAAAGATATCCATACAGTCAAGATTGGTTCTGATTATTGCCTGCTTCATTCACAAAATATATTCTCTTTTTTACTTATTTATTTATTTTTATTTCTCTTTTTGAGACAGGGTTTCACTCTGTCACTCAAGCTGGAGGGGACTGGTGAGATCATGGCTCATGGTAACCTTGACCTCCTGGGCTCAAGCAATCCTCCTGCCTTAGCCTCCCAAATAGCTGGGACTAAAGGGGCATGCCACAATGCCTGGCTAATTTTTTTTAATTTTTGTACAGACAGGATCTCACTATGTTGCCCAGGCTGGTCTCGAACTCCTAGCCTCAAGAAATTCTCTTGCCTCAGCCTCCCAAAGTGCTGGAATTACAGGTGTGGGCCACACCACACCCAGCCCTAAATATATTCTCCTTTAAAAAATATTCTTTTAGCCTGGATAAAAGCTCCTAGGAGATAAAAGATGATTTTTAATTCATCAGCTTTATTGAGATATGATTGACAAATTGCCTTATTTTTTAACTGAAATGGTAAGCACTTGCTTTTTTCTCCTTCTCTATCCTCTTCCTCTTTCCTTCCTTTCCTTTTTCTTCCCTTTTCTTTCTGAAAAATTCAGTCCTAAACTATTAGTTAGGACAAAGCCATGTCTATGTTTGGCATGGAAAAGCCATGGTGGTTAACAGCAGGGTGTCAGAGCCTGAGCCTACAGAGGGGACACCTGGCACATGGTGCTATGTTTCTAGCAGGGTCAGGAGGGAGTTTGTATAGGGCACATTCTGGGGTGGGGTGTCAGTGCCTAAGCAGGGTGAGAAAGATGTCCATATGAGGGAGGAATGGCCCAAAGAGAGGGAGTTGGCCAGGCCTGGTGGCTCATGCTTGTAATCTCAGTGTGGTAAGAGGCTGAGGCGGGAGGATCACTTGAGGCCAGGAGTTCAAGATCAGGCTTGGCATCATAGTGAGATCCTATCTGTATAAAAAAAAAATAAAAATAAAAGAGAGGAAGTTAAAGCCTAAGAAAGGTGAGGCAAACATACATGTGTGGGGATGGGTGTCAGAGCCTGAGATAGGGGAAGACGACTTGCGTGCAGATGGGGGTAGTGGCAGAAAGGGAAGATAGGTTACCTTCAGGGGAATCAACTCATAAATATGACTGGGCGAGGTGGCTCATGCCTGTAATCCCAGCACTTTGAGAGGCCGAGGTGGGTAGATTGCTTGAATCCAGGAGTTCAAGAACAGCCTGGGCAACATGGCAAAACCCCATCTCTACAAAAAATTTTCAGTGTGTTGTGGCACGTGCCTGTCATCCCAGCTACTCAGGAGGCCGAGATGGGAGAATCACCTAAGCCTGGGAGGTTGAGGCTGCAGTGAGCCCTGATGGTGCCACTGCACTCAGACCTGGGTGACAGAGTAAGACCCTGTCTCAAAAAAATAAATAAATAAATAAGTAAATCTATTAAGGATAATGGAAGCTAGGTTTTACACAGTGGGACAAGGGAGTTATAAATATGGAAAAGGAGAAAACTAGAATGAATTGTATGGTGTTAGTCTGGAATTGGAACTACGTGTGTGAACTTACTATTTTCAGTACATATGTAGAAAGAAAGTATAGAAAGAACTATAGATATAAATGTAAGCCTCTGTGTGTGTGCGTGTGTGTGTGTGTTGTTTATTTGCTGACTCTGTCCACACCAAGGACCTGAGAACAGCAACACCCTGAAAGCAATGAGCACATCTAGCACCCAAATCTTAGCTTTCAAATAACATTTTGAACTAAAAGGAACCAGGGTTCCTTGGAGAAATGGCTGATTCCAAGAGTAGGGCAGGGAAAGAACAAGATGAGCCTGGAGCATCTTGTGCCAGAGAATGAGGAGGGACTCACAGAATGATGGGGACATGTCAAAAGGACACAGAGGCCGGATTGGAAGGACTCCCACTGGCCGAATCTGGCACACTTTAAACATCAAAATAGATCATGATCGCAATGGATTATAACTCACGGACAAAATAGGAAACCACAAGTCCATGCTGACAAACAACTTCAAAAGTGAAAGTGTGGTGGAGAACAGTCTGCATTATTTCAAAATTACCTCCCTACAAAATCACAACGGGGAAAAAGAGTGTAACTTTCCAGTGGATAAGCCTGGCAGATGTCACCTTAGGAAGTGAGTGTAGTGAGCATCATCAGTAATGGGACGAACTGGGATTCCACACCCTGCGATGGGAGGCAACGAGAACAGTGCCGCTTCTGCACTATCCCTGCCCAAGATGCATAACTGGAAAAGTATCATGAAGACACATCGGATAAACTCACACTGTGAGGTGTTCTACAAAATAGCTGCTCATGATCTTCCAAAGTGTCAAGGTCATGAAAATAGTCAAGGACTGAGAAACTGTTTCATGCTACAGGAGACTGAAGAGACATGACAACTAAGCACAATGATTCTAAGCAGGAGTCTTTCAGGACTGAAAAAACGTTATGAGGCTGTTGGTGAAACTTGAATGGGGTTTGAGAATTAAATAATCATATTGTATAGATGTTAACTTCCTGATTTTGATGGTTGCGTTATGGTTATATAGGAGAATATCCTTGCTTGTAGGAAATACTCACTAAGTATTCAGGGATCCTAAGCCATCAGACTGGTAACTTATTTCCAAATATTTTAAAAGGAAAAAAATTTCTTTGAATTGTACTTGCAACTCTTCTTTAAGTTTGTGAATATTGCAAAGTAAAATTTAATTTTTAAATATAAGTACCCAAATTTCAGGAAAACTCAAGTGTATAAAATCAATAACCAAAAACCTCACCAGTCTCACAGCTTCAAACAAAACTCCATTTAAACTATCCAAACAGATGAGAATCCTTCTTTCTTTTCACATTAGAGCTTGGAAATATAAAATGAAATTCTATTGATAAATTTTCTGAAACATGCAGTATCCCTGGAGGCTGCATTAAATATACATATCTCCAACCTTCCATTGTCTTATCATAATGGATGAAAGGAAGGCTTAGTTAAGAGTAAGAAGACCCAGGTCTGATTGTCATGTTTGCCACTTCTTAAATATGCTACTTTGGGCAACTGCTTAATCTCCCTAAGCTCTAGTTTCCTTAACTATAAATTAGAGATAATAATATTTACTTCACAGTGTTGTTCAGAGAATTTAATACAATAATGGGTGTGAACCTGCCCACATAATGATCAGCATAGGAGTACAAAGTTTTCTGTTTTGTTTTTAATTCACAACAATTTAATCTTATATAACCCAACAAGTTCCTCTGACCCTGACATAATTTCTCCTGCCTATAGCTAGACACATTTGCTATTTACTCATCCATTGTCACTCATTTTTGCACTTAATGTTTGACAAATTGTTATTGAGAGCCTACTATACAGAATACTGTGTTCCAAGTCAGAAATAATGAACTCCAAATTACCTTTTTTTCAATCCTGCAAAGAGGCAGACGCAATGAAAAACAATGCTTTACATACCGCTGTGAATTATGAATTTAAATCAGTTTAGTAATCCAACCAAGGGTGTGTTTTCATTTCATTCCCTCTCTCTTATTGTAGCTATTGAATTCACTCACTTCTCCATCACATACATATTTATTTTCCAATGAATTCTGAAAGATTTCCAAGGTAGAGCAAGAAACGGGGAATACAGCTGACGTCTGTCTCCCCGTGGGAGTTATGTCACTCCTTGATTTAATTCCTTCTGACATTTTCCCCATCATACTTTCTGCTCTTCATCAAAATACATCCCTCTCGAAAAACAAATGTGCTTATTGACTACCCATGACAATCTTGGAAATGGTTGCAACTGTTCATGTGTAGGATTAAAAAAAAAATTAAAACAAAACAAAACAAAAAAACCACAGGCAAACAAAATCTAGAGACCTGTGCCATAAGGTCAGATGAGCACGAAAGGGTTGGTTAGTCCATCCAAAGTCTCAGGGGTTTAGGCAAGCTAGAGGGATTTATTTTCCATTTTTAGGCCATAGGCAATTTTGTTTGCTTAAGCTTAATTGTTCCCGGATACTGAAAGGGTACAGAAGGTAACTGCATGTTTGATTTTAATGACTCTTTTGGCGTTGATTTAACATCCTCACTGAAAAAAAATTACCAAAACACATACGTGCAAAACAGGCAGAGTTTTGGGTTTGGTTTTGTTTTCTGAAAAAATTCCCATGGAGGTGAAATGCAAGTAAATCCAGCCATGGAGACATGCTCCTTATGTGTGTTGACTGGAATCACAAAGAGACATGGGGCCAGACACCACGCGCTTTCTGTTTGTCAGAGCAGAGCTGACTTTCCTGCAAGAAACAGTAGCTATGCCCTCAGCCAGCCAAGGAGAGAACAGTCCATCCACATCCTCCCTGCTCCTCCATCTTCCTCTCACTCCCCAACTCTCTGCCTCCACTGTGTTTGTCTGAACTGGCTCTGGACAAATGGCACAGTACCGGGGCCACCCACCTCCCCGACTTCCCAAAGACAGAATAATTTTAACTGGCAGAAATGTCGCAGAACTTTCCAAAGTTCACAAAATCAGCTACACAAATTGTGAAATAACTGGTGTGTGGCAGCATCAAGTCATGCAGTCAAGATCCCCTTGAGGGAAGGAAGCCACCTCCACCCTGACCCAGCCTGCACCAATGTGCAGTCACGTCTGAGTCTGTGGGAGACGTGTGCACCTATAACCTTCCCATCCATTCACTAATGGCCTCACCTTGGTCCTTATCTTAGTACCTGGGACAGTAAACCTCCCAAAAGAAACTCTCTCCTCCCCAGATGCCCTGCTCCATTTCTTTCCACCTCCCTTTCCCCATCTCTTATGCCCCGCCTCCTCTCTCCATTTCTTTTTTCAGGGTCCTTTTATTCAGCTCTTCCTTTATAAGTTGGTGTAGCACAGGCCTCAACCCCCTGAACTCTTCTAATTTCCCATATTTTCTCCCCCAATTGTTTTGTAGCATTAGAGAGAGAAAGCAAAGGTTTTGCAACCCTGTACTGCACTGTCTGTTCCTATTATGTCCTAGAGAACTTGAGAGGACAATAACACTGCTACAAGTCAGAAAGCATACTGAGTTCTTCATTCATTCATTCATTCATTCGTTTGTTCATTGATTCATTCATTCATCCCCTACTCTGCACCAGGCTCTGTGTTAGATTCTAGGGAATCATAGAGGCATTAGGGAGGGAAAGGGAGAGCAAAATGCCAGCCCTATCAGAATCTTTGGAATAAGATAAATACATTTTGAAAACATCATGTTCAATATTATAACTTAATATTTAACAAAGGAAAGAGATGTTTCTATTGTTTCTAATACAAATCACTGAGGGCAAAGCTTGGCAACACCTCCTTGGTGGTAGAGACATATGGATGATGCAGTGAATCTTAGCTGGCCCAGCATTATGTTTGCCAAAGAGTGTAGGCCCCATGTTTTCAAGTTGAGAAACGCTTGCCCTCAATAACCTCATTCACTCCCACAGCTTCGATTATACCTATAATCTGACAACTCCCAATGCTCTATCTCCATCCCACATCTCTCCATGGGGTCTCTGACCCACATATGGACTGCTTACAGGATGTTTCCACTTGAAAGTCCAAACCTCACAGCTCGTCATCTTCCCCACACCCTGCTCCTGTCTGTTAGTGTCGCCACCCTGAGCCCATCACCCAGGCCAGGGGAGGGGAATACCTCCCTTTTTCTGGTTCCTCCCAGGTAGTGGTCACCCTGCAACATCTTACATACCCATCTTCTCCTCATTGCTGCAGACAACTTGCCTGTCTCAGGATCTCCTTCCAGGATCTCTAAGGAAATAACAAACTCCAAACTGAAATCCTTGGCTTCAATCCTTCCTGCCTATCTTCCAGACTGGAAAACGGCCCATCCAAAATACAAGTCTAGGCAACTCACTCACTCCCTTCCTCAAAATACTTGAGTGGCTCCTTGTTGCTTAGAGAAGAAAGTTAACTTCCTTAGAACAACCATGGAAGGCTCAACACAATAGGGCTTCATCCTACTTTCCCTGCTTCTTTTCCTGTGAGTCCTTCTTCAAATTCTACTTTCCATCCGCCATATTCCTCCAGCCCTCTACTTGCCTTCCCACCTGCAGACTTTTATGCACAGTTTCCTCTGCCTAGAATTCCTGCTCCTCACCCGGCTGCACAGTGAACTGCTACACTTCCTGCAGAACCCAGTCGAGTGTCACCTTCAGTGTAGAGCCTTTCCAAAGTCCTCCACGTAAAAATAATGGTCCCCTCACTGTTCTTTTGCTGTACTGTCTGCAAGTTTCTTTAAGCCTTTACCCGTTTGTAAATTTAATGAGTTGGTTAGTGTCTGTCTTCCGCTGTGGATGATAACCTCTTTGAATGCAGGAGCTGGCGCAGCATATACATCTATGTTTCCCCAGACTTTAACACAGAGCCTGGTGCAGAGTAGGGAATGAATGAATGAACTCAGGGTGCCTGCTGCCTTGTAGCAGTATTATTGTCCTATCAAGTCCTCCAGACACAATAGGACAGACAGGGCAGAACAGGGTTGCGACATCTTTGCAACCAATATTAGCTATCTAATGCTACGATACAAATTACTCCAAACCTAGTGGCTTCAAAAAGCAATCATTATTTGTGATCTCACTGTGAATTTGTTTTTTAAAAAATATATTTACCAGTTTATTATAAAGAATATTACAGAGAATACAGATGAAGAGATGTACGAAAGAAGAGGCACAGAGCTTTCCTGCCTTTCTCAGGCACACCACCTTCCAGGCATTTCCGCATGTTCGACTATCAAGAAGCTCTTTAAACCTTGTCCTTTTGGGTTTTTATGGAGGCTTCAATATGTAGGCATGACTGATTAAACTATCGGTCATTGGTAATCAAATTAATCTTCAGCCCCCCTTTCCTCTCCAGAGGTTGGAGATGGATAGAAAATTCAGACAAGGCCTATGGGAATCAATGCTCACTTTCTCATCATGTTTGAAGCCTCAACTGGAAGACTCAAAGGCTGGAGGCTGGAATTATCTGAAGACTCATTCACTCACACATTGATATTGACTGTTGCCTGGGTTTAGCTGAGGCTGTCAGAATGGTTTCTCCACATGGCTTCTCCATGTGCACTGAGACTCATCACAACATGGTGGATAAATTTTTAGAACAAGCATCCTCACTTTGGGAGGCTGAGGTAGGCATATCGCTTGAGCTCAGGAGTTCAAGACCAGCCTGGGCAACACGGTGAAACACCGTCTCTATTAAAAATACAAAAAGTAAGCCTGGTTTGGTGGCACACACCTGTGGTCCCAGCTACTGGGGCAGCTGAGGTGGGAGGATCGCTTGAGCCCGGGAGGCAGAGGTTGCAGTGAGCCAAGATTGCACCACTGCACTCCAGCCTGGGTGACAGAGCCAGACCCCATCTCAAAAAAAAAAAAGAACAAGTGCCCTAAAAGTGAGAAAAATAACAGGTAGAAACCATATTGCCTTTTGCAGCCTACTCTTGGAATTCATGCAGCATCACTTCTACCACATTCTATTGATCAAGGCGTATACAAAGTTCCACCAGGTCCAAGGGAAGGAACATAAACCATATTTCTTGATGGAAGAGTGTTAATATCACATTGTAATAAGAACTTGTAGGACAGCACACACATTGGTGTGGCCATATTTGGAAAATATCTGCCACCATCTTCTTCAACAAACATTGCCTTCTGCTATTGCTTGAGTGTTAGCCTTAATCCCATGAGGCTTTGCAAGCACACTGCAAACATAACCCAAAGTGGCTGCCCAATTTTGTCATGGACATTTCTGTTTTAACTCAGATGGGAGCTTTCCATCTAATTAGGCAGAGTCCCATACCCTTGGTGACATACAGCTATGGTAGGAGGACTGAAAGAAATTATGTAGGATCCATTTATAGAATTCACTCACAAAAGCCTGGCTACTCTGTACCAGGTCCTGCAGATGAGTCGGATGCAGCCCCTGCTCTCCAGAAACAAAAACACTGCATTCAAAGCCACTTCTCCCCATCCCCTATCATCTTTGAAGCAACTTAATGTGCTTTCACTTTTTGTTCCTCGTTATCTGAAATGTTGGTTTCATACGCAAAATGGGCCCTACAGAATTTCCAAGTTATGCCTGAGTCCAGGGACAAACACAATCTAGGCTTCTGAGCCGAGGCCATCTATTGCACAAAGAAGAATTCAATAACCACCATAAAAATAAAACAGAAAAACATTATTAGCAATTAGAGTATGTAGATACTACAGGACTCCTTGTGTGAGAAAATTATAACCCAGGAGCCAAACCCTGCTAGCAGCCTGCTTTTGTAAATAAAGTTTTATCATAGCACAGCCATGCTCCATTGGTTTAAGTATGGTCTATGGCTACTTTGACATAGCAGAGTGAAGTGATTGCAACAGAGAACCATATGGCCCCACAAAACCTAAAATATTTACTGTGTAGCCCTTTAGAGAAAGCATTTGCTGACCCTGTTCTTGAGACTAAACTAAATCTGTTTACTTGCTTATATAAGTCATAGCAGCTGCCTTGTGTCAGGTATCACCTATATGCCAGGCTCTGTGCTAGGAATCCCTACACGTCCTATCATTAAACTTTACATAGACCCACAAGGAAAATATTATTATCCTCATCTTGAAGATAGAGAAAACCACAACTTAAAGAAGTTGAAAGATTTGCACACAAGCCACAACTAATAAGTGATGGAATTCAAACCCAGGTCAGTACGGTTCCAAAGTCCATGCTATTTTCTTCATACCCTTCAATAAATGCACAGGGAATAGACTCTTCCACTTCTTGGCTGCCTGGGTGAGAAGGAATTGCTATCCTTGCTGGAATCTAGAGGCTGCTGTGCATGATGATTAGCCTTAGGAATCTGCACTCGACCATAACCACTTTTCCCAGATGACTGTTTGCAGTGGAGATTATTTATCATCTAGGGAGGTAGGGATCGCAGAGGGTGCCCCTCAAAGCCTTTGGAACTAATAGAGAGAGATGGGCCACTACACCCCACAGCACATGCTTCCCACCAGCTGAGACAAGGGACTTAGAGCCACAAACTCAGAACTAGAGGAGACTCCACCACCTGCCCCAGAGCTCCCCGACTAGAGGGGTTGCCCAGTCCATCTGGAGGATCAGAAAGAGCCAGTCACCACAGATAGCTTTTATTTGGACAGCAGCCACTGCAGCAATGAAGCTCCATGGTACTTGCCAAAACTTGTAAGTCTCCAGTTCAGCTGAGAGCTGTGCCACTGAGCCTACGTCTGCATTCTCCAGCTCCAAAGGGTTGGCCTCCTGACACGGGAGAGAGAAGTGTTTTAGGGGCACAGGGTTTCAGAACCAGAACAAATCTGCCCAGACATTCCCTGAGAATTCACGTCTCCCATCCTTATGGGCACTGGGACCCAAGACTAAGTTCTGCTAATAAAAAGAGGGGCATTGCCTACAGTTTGCAGAGGGGCTTATTGGAGATTGCTATTTTTTTAATTATCTCTCATTCATTACACACATAGTTATTGAGCACCCACTATGTGTCAGCTCTAAACATTGAGTATAATGTTTTCTCAAAGAGAGAAAAATCCTTGCCCTCAATAATAGTGACTGAATGCTTATTTCATGTAAGGCACTTGTCTAAAAACTGTACAGGTAGTACAGGCAGATACATTTGAAACTCACAGCAACATTATGAGGTAGGTACTAGCATTGTCTCATTTCATAAAGAAGAAACTGAGGGACAGGAATGTTCAATCATTTAACAAGTACATTATATATGCACACATCTACAGAGCCAACTATACTAATATTCACAATAACGAGAATGTATATGGTTAGAGCCCTAAAGTTTTTTTTTAATTCTTTGCCATACACATTTATCAATCATTTTACATCATTGCACCAAAATGGCTAAGAGGGCCATTTTGCAGATTGTGAAGTCATGATGGAATTGAAGTGATTGCCCAAAAGCCAATTAGAGTATGTAGCAATAATAGCCAGGTATGGCTATTATTCCAGCACTGTTCCCTTTGACAGATTGGGCCAAGAGATCCTGGAGGTGCCTTTCAGCTTTAGAACCCTAGGGATCAGTTTCAGTGTGTCTTCTCTTCTACCTTGCTCCATGTCTTCTCTTCCACCTTGCCTCATTAGGAGTCTTGCCACCATACCCAGGTGACTTCCAGCAAAAATTAAATATCTGCTCAATTAGTGCAAAGTAAATCTAAAAACCCGACCACCAGAAGGTGAACAGTCAAAAAGCCAGCCTTCTGGCTTCAAGGTCACCCTTAAATTCACTTTAACCTTCAGTGCAGAACTGCCTCAACCAAGTCACCAAATCAGTTGTATTAATAGCTGTGGGTACAAAAAAGCAGAAGACTTGCTCAGCCTCTTGGGACTAACAAGCAAATATACAATATCTTAGCCAGGCACGGTGGCTCACGCCTGTAATCCCAACACTTTGGGAGGTCGAGGTGGGCAGATCATGAAGTCAGGAGATCAAGACCATCCTGGCCAACACGGTGAAACCCCATCTCTACTAAAAATACAAAAAATTAGGCCAGTATGGTGGCACATGCCTGCAGTCCCAGCTACTCAGGAGGCTGAGGCAGAAGAATCGCTTGAACCTGGGAGGCGGAGGTTTCAGTGAGCTGAGATCATACCACTGCACTCCAGCCTGGGTGACAGAGCAAGACTCCATGTGTGTATATATGTGTGTGTGTGTGTGTATATATATATATATATATATATATATGTGTGTGTGTATATATATATGTGTATATATATATGTGTATATATATGTGTATATATATATGTGTGTGTGTGTGTATATATATGTGTGTGTGTGTATATATATATATATATATATATATATATATATATATATATATATATATTTGACATTACAACGTACTGAGTGCCAGACTGAATTATGAGCAAGAGAAAGAAACACTAGCTCTGATGGGACTAAGCCTGGGCCCATAACACTATTAATACTACCAAACGCTTGTTTGAGCTGTGTGATCTTCAGCAAGTTACTTAACCTCTTTATGTCTCAATTTCTTAACTGTAAAATGAGGACAAAAGTCATATTTTCCTTGGAAGTGTGTTGAGAGGATTAAATGTTAATACACAGAAAGTACTTAGAGCAGTGCCTGACACATCCTGAGAGTCATTTGAGAGCTATCATTGTTGAATGTTCACTGTGCACTAGGTCCTGTTCTAAGTGTTCATGAACCACCTACATGATAAGGACTCTTACCGACCCAATTTTATAAATGAGGAAACAGAGGCACCAAGAAATTGAGTGATGAGGTTACATAGTTTTTAAGTGCTGGGGCTAGGATTTGTTCCCAGGTAGTTGGACTTCTGAGTATGCACTCATAACATAATATAATTCTGCCTCAAGACCCTGCCATGCTGACCCAACAGAGAATAACAGATGCATTATGACAGGTGGTTATTCCAGAAGACATAACATTGGAGCTGGGCTTTGGCAATAGTTCATATTTATAAGAAGCTGGGCAGAGAGAAGTGTTGCTGATATCAATGAGTTTTCTGGCAGGATTCAGGGGCATGGATTTGGAAGTTAGAATCCCTAGTCTGCCATTTGCTAGCAGCATAACCTAGAATGAGTTGCTGCATGAGGAAACACGTCAGTTTCCTCACATGGAAAATGGAAATGACTATTCCTACCTTGAAAGGCTGTTGCACGGATGAAATGAACTCACAAAAGTAAGCACTTGGGATGGTATCTGGCCCATCAGTGGGCAGTAAGTGGAGGCTATTTCTTCCTTATTTTGTTTGTCTTCAGCTGCTTCAAATCACTCTTCTTTCACCCCTTCTTCCTCCTGCCCCAAATTACTACCTACCCCGCATTCTCTTTATAGGACATTGGTGGTTAATTTCACTTTGCCTCACATAATTTGCCCAGAAAATACTCTCTTAGTTTTCCTCTTCCCTTCTGAGACCTCTTTCACCATTGTCTTTTCAGGTTCTCCTTCCTGTGTCCATCCCTAAACAGTTCTATGCATCCTACCATTGACTATCTCCCCTCACTCACTTTACACGTGCTTCTGAGAAATTCGTGCATCTCTATTCTGACAACTCCCAGATCTACACATCCTGAGCAGATCATTCTCCTGGGCTTCTGACCCACATTTCCATCTACCACCTCTGCTTGCATATCCCAATCATACTTGTCCAAATTGGAGCCATCCTTTTCATCCCCAAACCTGCTCTTCCTCTTGGCATCCCAATGTCAGCAACTGGTACCATCAGTTGCCCCATTGCCCAAGCTAGAAACTGAATCCTCTTTGCATTCCACCTCCACATCTGATTAGTCACATAAGATTAATCTTATTGATTCCACTTCTTTTGGAGATTTTCTTTCTGCCCCTGCCTCATTCAAGCTCTTGCCATGGCTTTTATAGTTTAGAGATGGCTTCGTAACACAGCTACCTCTCTTCAGCTTTTGCTTTCCTCTAATCCATCCTCTCCACCAGGTTGGCAAACTTTATCTGTAAAGAGCCAGATGGCAATTACTTTAGACTTTGCAGGCACAGGGACCCTGTTGCAACTAAGCAACTCTGCCACTAAGGTGCAAAAGCAGACATAGACATATAAATCAATGTGTGACTGTGTTCTAATCAAATTTTATTTACAAAAACGAGAGCAGGATGGATTTGGCCCATAAGCCATAGTTTGCAAGCTCTGTTTGACATTACTGCCGAAGTGGTTTTTCTAACATGACTAAGGGCCCATTTAATTTTCTTGTTTAAAAACCTTCAACAATATGTCAGGGTTGTCAAGATAAATACCAAAACGCTTAATAAGCTTACACAGTCTCTGATCTCGTCTCTCCTTCTTCTGTCTATCCATCACATGCTCCCCACATTTCAACCTTTCTCAACTGCAATAGATCCTAGAATCTATTGTGATTTTTTTGTTTCTCAGCTCTATGCGCTCTACACATGCTGATCCTTTTGTCTGAAAATGTTATTTATTCTCTTTATTCAATTATCAAACTGGCATTTATGGCTCAAGATTGAAGTTAAGTCTCTTTTTCTATTTTAAGCCTCCCATCCCACAACTAGGGAGAATTAAGTACTTTGAGTGCTATGTATTTCTCTAACAAATTGGGAAGACTTTGATGAAACAGTATTATCCTACCCATGTCACTTTTTTGATAGCTAAAGGAACCCTCACTTTACATAGCAGGAAACTGAGATATAGGGAACTCATGTTACCAACTCAAGGTCACCTAGCAAAGGAGGATCTATACTGGAGTCAAAGTCTGGAACACATGGATCTTGAATCCAAAACCACTCCACACTGAAAGTCAGAAAGACTTTTATTTGTCTGATGTCTACCCAATGCATAGCACAGAAATAATATTGCTAGTTTTTCTCCACATCCATGTGAGCTTTCAACAATAGAACAAGGAAAAATCAGCTCTGTATGGATCCTCCAGGAGAAACGGTGTGCTCTTTCTCTTTTCTCTTATTTTCAAATATTCTGGGTAAGCTGGTGAATGCAGCCTAAAGGACCCAAGTGTTGCTGTTGCCCCAGCACTGTGAAGAGACTTCTTGGAAGTCCCTAACTAGGCGAATGGGTCCTCTTCCATTGTTGGTTTACTTTTCTGGTTCCTTCAGTGAGCATCCTTCACAAAGTAAGTCATTCTGCAGACAAATGAGTTTTCCTGCCTTATCAGTTGTGCTCACAACACAATGAACAATGAAGCTCATGATCTCCATGGTGATCATGTTTCATTGTCAGACACTCTATAGCACGGGGGTAAACATTGCATGTTGCAGTTAAGATACTGGTTGATGTGAAAAGACTGAAAAGGGAAACACAAAACTTAAAGTTCTTTATTTTTTCTGAAGAAATAATCCAGAATTGCCTTGATTCCCATTCAGCAATGGGCTAAATGTTTTTTAAAAAAATCCTCCAGGTTTGATGGGTTCCCAGGAAGAATGGCAATATCTCATCTTCAGGCACTTGGCTTTTAAATTGAAGCCTTCAAGTTCTCAACTGAGAACTGACCTTGGCTTCTTGGCCTGCCATTTCTACAGAATTCTTGGCCAGGGAGCTCTACAGGATTCTAGGATTCCCTTGAGACCTTTAGAAGTTCTGCAAACAATGAAGTGTTCTCTACTGATTGTTGAAAGTTTATACTATGTCCTCTTGATTTCTATGTTGGATTGCAGATAAGATTTTTGTTTAAAAAAATAGTTCTACTGCTTTTTAGAAAAAATTAAAAATAATACCACTGCATTCAAATGGACAGGTTAAATTAATGGATCTGGAACATACCTAGAGATCAAGTTGGACTAGATCTGTAGATTACTTGTACTAGTTTTGTCAAGAAATAATTTCAAATACAAAAATTAGCCAGGCGTGGTGGCAGGCACCTGTAATCCCAGCTACTTGGGACGGAGAGGCAGGATAATTGCCTGAACCCAGGAGGTGGCAATTGCAGTGAGCCAAGATAGTGCCATTGCACTCCAGCCTGGGCAACAGAGAAAGACTCTGTCTCAAAAAAAAAAAAAAAAAAAAAAAAAAGAAAGAAAGAAAGAAAGAATTTCAGAAGCAAATAAAAACCTGGAACTGCTTGCAAGATAACTGAGCAACAAGCCGTTTTTAACTTTCTACACCACCCAGCGGGTACCACGTACCAGGAGCCTAATCACCTCTCCCCTGGTCTTCTCCTTGGCTCCTAATATCTTGGGCTCACTTATCCTGGTACTGCACTCCACCCTGCCTATTGCATCTCCACATTCTCCTCACTATGTGTCTTCCCATTTGAGAGCTGACATTTGCCTTTGATCTTGATGCTCAGCCTCATCCTCTCAGAGACACAGCCTTAGCTTGCCTTAAACACAATGTGGGCTTTCTTATATCAGACACATCTTGCATCTCTCCACCTCAGGCTGCCTTAGAGGTGGCATGGATTCCAGGTCTACTCAGCCCCTGAAATTTTGCTCTGCAAATTAGGACTGGACAGGTCCCATTTAGCATAACAGTCCATGAGGAATACAGTCATTTGTCACATAACATTTTAGTCAAGAAACCAAATGTACAATGGTGGTCCCATAAGATTATAATGGAGCTGAAAATTTCCTACTAGATCTAGTAACACTGTTGCTGTTGTAACATCTTAGTACAATGCATTACTCAAGTGTTTACAGTGATGCTGGTGTAAAAAAACCTACTGTGCTGCCAGTGGCATAAAAGGATAGCACGTAAAATTATGTACTTGACCTAATACCTGACAATGATAATAAATGACTGTGTTACTGGTATATATAATACTACATGTTCTATGATTATTTTAGAGTGCACTCCATCTTATTTAAAAAATTAACTGTAAAACAGCCTCAGGCAGATCCTTCAGAAGGTATTCCAGAAAAAGTCATTGCTATCACAGGAGATGATAGTTCCATGCATGTTACTGCCTCTGAAGACCTTCCAGTGGGACAAGATGGCGAGGTGAAAGACAGTGATATTGATGATCCTGACCCTGTGTAGGCCTAGGCCAATGTGTGTGTTTGTGTCTTAGTTTTTAATGAAAAAGCTTTTAAAATAGAATAAGAATTAAAATGTTAAAAATAGGAAAAAATGTATAGAATAAGAATATAAAGAAAATATTTTTATACAACTGTACAGTATGTTTGTGTTTTATGCTAAGTGTTATTACAAGAGTCAAAAACTTTTTTAAAAATTAGAAGTGCATAAAGTAAAAATATCACAGTAAGCTAAAGTTAATTTATTATTGTGAAAAAAATTTTTAAATAAATATAGTGTAAAAGTAAGGATAATGTCTTAGATATGTTTGTATACATCATTCATTTCCCAATACCTGTATGACCTCCCTGGAATTAGCACAGCTTAATATATATTTTGATATATACTTTATGCTCAAAAAGTGATTGGTAAAACAATAAACATGAGGATGAATGACAGATATAAAAACTCATGCAGGGGCCGGACATGGTGGTGGCACATGCCTGTAATCCCAGCACTTTGGGAGCCCGAGACGGGCAGATCACTTGAGGTCAGGAATTCAAGACCAGCCTGGCCAACATGGCAAGACCCCATCTCTACTAAAAATACAAAAATTAGCCAGTTGTGGTGGCGGGTGCCTGTAATCCCAGCTACTATGGAGGCTAAGGCAGGAGAATCGCTTGAACTGGGGAGGCTGAGGTTGCAGTGAGTGGAGACTGCACCAATGCACTCCAGCCTGGGTGACAGAGTAAGACTCCATCTCAAAAAAAAAAAAAAACAAAAATCTCATGCAGGTACAAAGAAGAGAGTATTTATTGTTAGTAGGGATATCAGAAAAGGCTACATGGAAGAGATGGAATAGGAATTGAGCCTCAAGAAATTACTAGACATGTACTTAACAAAGGAAAGAGAGGAAGACATTCCAAGAGAGGGAATAATGTGAGCAAATTGATGATGGGTAAAAAATTGGAGGCCAGGAAATCTTTCTGGTACAGCTGCCCTTTGTCCCTCTCCAGCGGACTAAAGGAGAAGATCCAGACTAAGAATCAATGTGAAGTTGGAAGAGGGAGACACTTATAGATCTTTGGGAAATGACTCTATGGGGCTTTACTTCTACAGGAAGAGAAGCTCAGACATCAAGACAAGGGGACTTGTTGAAAATGTGGAATAAAAGAAGTGGAATCAGATCATCAGGTGACCTGAATGCGAAGGCATTGGCCTTCTAGAAGAAAACGCTGTAAATTCAGATGACAAGGAGGTGCTGTGGTGAACAGGGACTCCAACCAAGGAAAAATTCTCTCCACATTTTACAGGCATTAAAGGCTGGTGAGGAAAGCTGTGTTCTTGGCTGAGGTTCTTATTCAGCTGATTACAGAGAGCAACACATACATGCATGACTAACAACCCCATAATAGGCCCTTCCTTTTGAGCTGTAATGGGAGCCACACTGACAGATGTGATGGGTGTTCTCAGCAACCCTCGAGGAGTGACAACTGCAGCGCTCACTTACAAAAAACAGGTGAGACTCACTCTTGAAATGTTCTAGCTGTTGGCCTGTGAGTGGGCTGGGTTCCCCAAGCATCCTAAACGTTTCCTCTGCCCATTTGGAAGGGTGATCCTACCATCTTAGCTGGGAGACCCTGTGAGGGCCTTCCTTACCTCCTTTTGGAGGCTCACTTTTCATATCTGTGAAATACAGGTAACATCACAAACAACTTTGAAGGGTGAATGTGAGAAAATGATGAGAAAATAGATGCGAAGGTTCTCAGGAAACTAAGAAAGATTAATAAATGTCAAAGGTTAATCCTATTTTTTACAAGCCAAGAACTTTACCTGGCATTCATTTCTGCATATTTCTGAGAAAATATGTGGTCTGCTTCTGTGCAAACCATCCAAAGTGTAAGCATTTTTTTTTCTTGATAAAGAATAACTTCTTCTCTTAAAAGGGAAGTGATGCTTTGCAAATGGCAAGCACATCAGAAATTTTGAGTATAGTCTTCTCAATGCCTCTCAGAGACAAAGGATAGCCCACCAGCATCTGCGACGGCTCTGAATGGGCAGAAGGCAAATGGAGCTGACCACAAGGCAAGGAGAGAAGGCTTTGCAACAAAGTCCTCTCCAAAGGAAACCACCAGTGACTTGCCACATCTCTGCAAGAGCTTAGAAACTAAAGAAAAAATGAACAGCTCAATTTCTTTTTTTTTTTTTTCTTTTTTTTGAGACCAAGTCACGCTCTTATTGCCCAGACTGGAGTGCAATGGTGCGGTCTGGGCTCACTGCAACTTCCACCTCCCAGGTTCAAGCGATTCTCCTGCCTCAGCCTCCAGAGTAGCTGAGATTACAGGCGCCCACCACCACACCCAGCTAATTTTGTATTTTTAGTAGAGACGGGGTTTTACCATATTGGCCAGGATGGTCTCGAACTCCTGACCTCGTGATCCGCCCACCTTGGCCTCCCAAAGTGCTGGGGTTACAGACGTGAGCCACCGCACCTGGCCTCAATATCTTAACATGTGCAGGCTAGGGAGAGTTTAACAAAATTTGTTTATTTGTAATTATTCGTAAGATTGATTTTTCTTTGTGACGGTATCTTATGTTCATGAGTTTGCTTAGAAAACACTTTCACTCTCATTATTTTATATAATCCTCACACCAAGCCATGCAGCTAGATAGTATTGTTATCGTTATTATTCCTTCTTAAGAGCTGAAGAAACTGAAGCTCTGAGGGACATGCGATCGACAGCAGGACTGTGATGCCAGAATCCCCAGTCCCCAAGGGCAGGACCCTGTCTTCCATCCCTCTTAGTGTCGGGTCTGTTGCTCCAAGCAGAAGGCTGTACATGCTTCCTAACTGAAGTATCTTGTTTGTTCCTGTGTGTATTCATTCCACACATACATGTTGGGCACAAATAAACGTTGTCGTGGATAACGACAAATTCGTATGTGAACTTAACTCTGCTTAAAACCTAGTGGGGAAAGGTGTGAGGGGAAGGAAAGGCAGGAGCCCCACAACCCTTTAGGATCAGCACTCCTGTAAGAAGAAGCATAAGCAGATCACAGTAGCTGAAGAAATTGGATGAGTCACCGTTGTCTAAACCAGTGGTTCTCAAACTTCTCTCTGAAGTAGGATTAGGCCTGGGCCTTGTTGTTTTTCCAGAGTTCCCTAGGTGATTCTGATAGTGACCAAAGTTTAAGTGACCACTGTTCTAAGTGAACTTTCCTCAGGGATGAGATTCCATAGGTGGTGACTCTGAATTTTTGTCTGCTTCTTCTCTGGCACCAGTATGGGGAGCGGGGCTTCCAATAGAGGTCAGTGGTTGACCTCTGCACATCGAGGCATTACTCCCATGTGAATCCACAGGACTCAGTCAGGGTTGCCAGGCTCTAGCTTAGGACTTGAGGAGGGGGACAGCGACCTGGGGGAAAGCTGGCTGGGGTGCTCTGTCCCTCCAGGGAAGGATATTGTCCCAGCAGCACTGTCAGGACGCCTTGCCAACACACACTTTTGCTCTTTAAATAGGGCTTTGTTCAATGAACATTGACTAAGCTGCTCTGGTGCTGGGGCAGAACCAGAGATGAATCAGGCAAATGTACCTTCAAGGACCTCCCTGGTTAGTGGGAGAGACACACACCTCTAATATAACTATCAGAAGTGCTGTAAAAAAGACAGGAGCCCTGGGAGGGAACACTTCAGTCAGCCTGGCCAGGGAAAGCTTCCTAGAGGAAGTGACATTTGAAATGTCAGAGTCCACAAAGCAGGGAAGGGGAAGCAAGTTCTCAGCAGAGAAAGCAGCTGGTGGCAAGGCCAGAGGGTGCCTGGGAAGAGTGTAGCTAGGAGGCTGGTGTAACAATGAGGCAGGATGTTGGGGACAGAGAAGAGGAAGGGGTGGCCAGATGAGAGGGTCCTGGAGCCCCAAGCAAGAGAGTTGTCTTAATTCTCCACAATGGGGAGCCTTCCCTTTCTCCTTACCCTTTGTTTTCTTCTCTGCCTTACTCTCCCCTTTAGGAGGTAAACAAAGGAGGAAGGGAAGGGGATGCAGAGGGAGAAGGGAGAGAGGAAGAGAGCCATTCCGCTTCCATTTTGGTTGGCTCCACCTTGAAATGCTATTGCTGTGTTTTATATGGAATTAGTAAGTTAATGACTTCTGACTCCATGAGAGACATCAGTGCTGGAGCTTCAACCCAGGAGGGCTGGGCTTAGCTCTGGGCACAGTTTAGGTAGGTCCAGTACAGCCTAGACTAGCGGTTTCCAACCTCTTGATCTCAAGGGCCATCCCTCACCTCCCGTGACGTTACTTAGGCTTTCAGTGCCTGTTGATTATGAATATACAAAAGGAAAAAAGCCAGCTGTTAATTCAGGTGCACTCTAGAGTAAACTTGCATTCGTTCTAGACAGTAGGATCCATACACATCTAAAAATCTGTTAGTGTGCAATAACTTTCATCAAAGGCCAATAGCACACATTGACAAACATTTGTAACATATGTGATAGAGCAAGGACTAATGCCTTTTATATAAAGAGTTCTTACAAATTACAAAGAAAAAACTCAACAACTCAAAAGGAAAAAAAAGGAATGGGCAAATGACATTAGCAATGGTGTTCACAGAAAAAGAAATAGAAATGTTTTAACTTCCCTCATAATGAAATATACACATATATATGGAATATATTATATATAAATATATATATAAGAAATATCTTTTTAAAAAAAAAATCTGGTAGAGTAGCAAAGACTAAAATGAAAAGGTGTCAACGGGAGCCACTTTCATCCACCCCTGGGAAAGTGTTAATAAGAACAAATTATTTGGAGGGCAATTTGACCACATCTATCAACATTAAAATATACTGTATTACTTGACACAGAAATTCCACTTCTAAACATTTATTCCTCATATAAAATCACACATGTTCTCAAAGGACATCCAATAAGCTGGATTCAATAAGGGGCGATCATAATGCTGCTTTATTTTTGCTCACCCTGTGAACTTATTCACTGGGTCCCTTATTTCCAAAGAGCAGTCTCTGTAATTTAAAAGCACACATTCCAGCATGTTTGCCAGAACTCTGAACAAATCTCATTTGAAAATTTCTCCCTTCTTCAGCCCAGGTCTGCTTCAAACTTAAATGCCAGCTGTGGGGGAAGGGGGAGACAAGGTTGTCCCCCCTCTTCCTCTCACCTCTTCACCCTCAGTATCTCCCTACCTGGGACAGGACCCAGAAAAAGAGGAAATAGGGAAGGGGGCAGAGCTTCCCAAGGCTGGTCCTGCTGGGAGCCGGGGATGCTGCCCTCTGGGCTGGGTGGTGTGTGTAGGTTCCCCAGGCATTCCGCCCTTGGGAACTCACTGGCAGTCGCCTGAATGCAGTGAGGCCTCCTCCTGGCTGCTGCTTTCTGAGTCTATCTGTTGGACTGTTGGGCTTCCAACAGTCCCTCCTCTGCCTTTCAAAGGGCGCTGTCAGGAAAAGCCCCATTCTAGGTGGCTCTAGTCTATCTCTTTCCTGCTGGCCCCTTTTTGGTTCCCAGACAACAGGGCTTTTTGCTCTCCTCTGCTGGTGGACGCTCCCTTGCTCCCGGGAGGAGGAAGGGTGTTCTCTCTTTTTCTCTCTCTGTCACCTCAGGCCAGCCCAGCCTCAGCTTCTCTTTCCTGGTCTTAAGCTCCCAAATTCAGGTTCCAGGGACCAACGCTGAGCTCTCCCTTTCAGGCTTTCTCAGTTGGCTTTCTCCAGCCGACCCTCTCCTGGGAGATGAGGGTGGGGAGAGACAAAAGACACTGTGACAGGATTCACCAGAGACTGCCTCCCCTCCCAGCCTCTGAAGGCTGGTGTCAGGCAAAGGATGGTCCATGCTGGCAGAATACCAGGGCCTGCCAAGGTGGTCTAGCACCTCATTTAACATTGGGGAGGGAGATATTCAAGTACCTATTGTATGGTTTCTAGCGATTTGCAGTCTCAGCCGGAAACTGAGACTTAAAGAGTTCCATTTTAACATCCTGTTATATGTATATGCCACACACATCATTTACAACATTGTTTATAATAGAAAAAAACATAACCTAAATGGGCTGGGCACAGTGGCTTATACCTGTAATCCCAGCACTTTGTAGGCTGAGGCGGGTGGATCACTTGAGGTCAGGAGTCCAAGACCAGCCTGGCCAACATGGCGAAACCCCGTCTCTATCAAAAACACATGAATTAGCTAGGTAAGGTGGCGCACGCCTATAATCCCAGCTACTCGGGAGGCTGAGGCAGAAGGATCACTTGAACCTGGGAGATGGAGGTTGCAGTGAGCTGAGATTGCGCCACTTCACTCCAGCCTGGGTCACAGTGAAACTCCATCTCAAAACATAAAAAATAGCCTAAATGCCTGGTAAATCACTTATAGAACAACCGCACCATAATCTGCATATGTCATTATAGGAAAAGCTCTATGTGATATATTGTAAAGTTAAAAAAATGCACAGTGTAGCACACCAGGGCGTCCCATTTGTGCATGAATGTTTTCTGAAGGGGCATTTTATTATATACTTGATTGTATTTGCACAGAAATTCTGGAGATGAGACTGAAAATCGGCATGGTAAGGAGACCTACTACTCATTGTATAACTTTTAATACTTTTTGAATTTGTGTCATAATACATGAGTTTTATAACTCTAAAACCTATTATTAGGAGATAAACAAATATAAACACAGTTTATTGTGTTCCTTTTTAGAAAGCATTGGCTTTATCCACAAAAGCAATAAGCCCTCCAGCAAACAAAATGGAAATATAAAAGGAAAAAAAAATCTATAGAAAATACCTATAAAGAATATAACGGAGGCAGGACGCAGTAACTCACCCCTCCAATTCCAGCACTTTGGGAGGCCAAGACAGGAGGATCACTTGAGCTCAGGAGTTCAAGAGTAGTCTGGGCAAAATAGTAGGGCCCTGTCTCTACAAAAACAAAAGCAAACAAAAAAAAAAGTTTTAAAAAATTAGCTGGACATGGTGGTGCATACCTGTAGCTTTAGCTACTCAAGAAGCTGAGGCAGGAGGATTGCTTGAGCCCAGGAATTCAAGGTTGCAGTGAATTGCACTACACTCCAGCCTGGGCAAGGACCTGAGCAAGACTCTGTCTCTAAAAAATAAAAACAGAAAAAGAAAAAAAATGAAAAATATATTTCCCACAAAACTTTGTTAACCCCATCTTCCATCTTCCAAAGGTCATACAAGGTAATCACTTTATACATTTTCTTCTAGATATTTCTCTATGACTTTACAACATGTATAATTTTTCAAACCAGAAATGGAATCACATTATACAGAACGTTCTTTTTATTTTATCCCTTTTTTTTTTTTTTTTTTTGAGATAGGATCTTCTTCTGTTGCCCAGACTAGAGTGCAGTGGCATGATCACAGCTCACTGCAGCCTCAAACTCCTGGGCTCAAGTGATCCTTCTGCCTCAGGCTCCTGAGTAGTTAAGACTACAGGCACATCCTACCACACCCAGCTAAACTTAATTTTTTGTAGAGATGTTGCCTTCTTATACTGCCCAGGCTCAGAATGTTCTGAAGCCTTTTTTTTTTTCCACTTTAAAATAGGCCAAGCGCAGTGGCTCATATCTGTAATCCCAGCACTTTGGGAGGCTGAGGCAGGAGGATTGCTTGAGCCCAGGGGTGTGAGATCAACTTGGGCAACATAGTGAGACCCATCTCTACAAAAAATTTTTGTAAAAATTAGTCAGCCATGGTGCTGTGCATCTATAGTCTCAGCTACTAAGGAGGCTGAGATCAGAAGATCATTTGAGCCTGAGAAGTTAGGGTTGCAATGAGCTGTGATGGTGCCACTTCACTTTGGCCTGGCAACAGAGCAAGACCCTGTCTGAAATAATTAATTAATTAATTTTTAAAATAAAAGTAATGTAGACCCAGCGTGGTGGCTCACGCCTGTAATCCCAGCACTTTGGGAGGCCGAGGTGGGTGGATCCCGAGGTCAGGAGTTCGAGACCAGTTTGACCAACATAGTGAAACCTCATCTCTACTAAAAATACAAAAAATTAGCCAGGTGTGGTGGTGTGCTCCTGTAATTCCAGCTACTCAGGAGGGTAAAGCAGGAGAATCATGTGAAACTGGGAGGCAGAGGTTGCAGTGAGCCGAGATCACGCCATTGCACTCCAGCCCCAGTGACAGTGTGAGACTCCGTCTCAAGAAAAAAATAAATAAATAAGATAAAAGTAATCTAAAATATTCCTTGGACAAGCTTCCAAGTCAGCACATTTAGACTCACTCCATTCCTCTCAACCTTTGAAACAGTATACCTCCGGCCGGGGGCGGTGGCTCACGCCTGTAATCCCAGTGCTTTGGGAGGCCGATGCGGGAGGATCACGAGGTCAGGAGATCGAGACCATCCTGGCTAACACGGTGAAACCCCGTCTCTACTAAAAATACGAAAAAAAAAAAATTAGCTGGGTGTAGTGGCATGCACCTGTAGTCCCAGCTACTCAGAGGCTGAGAAGGGAGAATGGCGTGAACCTGGGAGGCGGAGCTTGCAGTGAGCTGAGATCGCGCGCCATTGCACTCCAGCCTGGGCGACAGACCGAAACTCTGTCTCAAAAACAAACAAACAAACAAACAAAAACAGTATACCTCTGTACGTCCCCAATATTACAGTTTACTGGACCATAACTTGACACTGCTGCCCTTCTAAGCCATGCTACAGTGACCACTCTTACACACACACACACAAGTTTGCACACAGTAATGACATTCTCATGTGTTAGATCCCTTAAGTAGGACTGCTGGGACATTAGCAATGTTGACAGATCCTGCCAAAATTCTGCATAACTCTTCTCCCTGCCGGCCCCTTTCACTGCAACCCTACTTTCTGACACTGACTGAAGCAATGGGAGCTACCTTGTTGACACAACTTATAAACCACACTGAGCGACTCGTGACCTACAGGCTGGGACTCACTGACCTACATCAGAGCTTTTTTATCCCAGGCATAACTAGTCCTGAACCAATGCGGTGGAATAAGATAGAGGAAAGAAGCTACACATAGTAGCTCATGCCTGTAATCCCA
This sequence comes from Homo sapiens, assembly GCF_000001405.40. Taxonomy (NCBI): domain Eukaryota; kingdom Metazoa; phylum Chordata; class Mammalia; order Primates; family Hominidae; genus Homo; species Homo sapiens. The sequence goes on along the minus strand of NC_000009.12, from coordinate 107,678,460 downwards.
GCACTTTCAGAGGCTGAGGCAGGAGGACTATTCAAGTCCAGGAGTTTGAGACCAGCCTGGGCAACATATTGAGACCTTGTCTCTCTCTTTTTTTTTTTTTTCTGAGGTGGAGTCTCACTCTGATGCCCAGGATAGAGTGCAGTGGCACAATCTTGGCTCCCTGCAACCTCCATCCTCCCTCAAGTTCAAGTGATTCTCCTGCCTCAAGCTCCCAAGTAGCTGGGACTACAGGCCCCTGCCACCCTGCCCAGCTAATTTTTATATTTTTAGTAGAAATGGGGTTTCACTATGTTGGCCAGGCTTGTCTCAAACTCCTGACCTCAGGTGATCCACCCACCTCGGCTTTCCAAAGTACTGAGATTATAGGCATGAGCCACCACGCCCGGCCAACCCTGTCTCTATTTTTTTTTAAATTTTTAATAAAGTTTTTTAAAGACAATGTTATATTTCTATTATACAACCACAGATTAAATTAGAAATGAAAAGTAAAATTTCTGCATCATCATCACTAAGATGAAACATAAATCACCCTTGAAATGCCTTGCTTCAGCTCCAGGGATACCCCAGACCCCTTGTAGGATCCCTGTCCATTCTCTTTTGCCCTTAGATAACCATGCTGCAATTCACCAACCTTGTGGAAAAGTAGTCAATAACTGGGCCAAGGAAGGTTCTGGACCCCACGTGAGAAAGGGAAGAGAGCCGCTTGAGAAAATGGTCTGTGAGTAACAAGACTGTCATCAAAAATCTTTGAAGGGCTGTCCTGTAGAAGAAAAAGCAGACTAAAATGCAGAATAGGAGCAAAAGTTCAGAGCAACAGGCCCACAGGTTTTTAAGCTAGACAAGAGAGAACTTCAAAACTATGCAGAGCTTCCAGGGAAAACATGCATGAGCCAAAACCAGAATCAATTACCTCCATAGAAGACCCAAGGGCAACGTGCGTGGCTCTACAGAGGGCCAACGGGTGACAGATGGTGATGTGCATGGCAGCCTGAACAATATTGTCTAAAGAAGTCCAATTGGCTGTCACTGAGGAGCCACAGCATTCTACATTTATTTTATTACTTTCTATGAAATCCACCTACTTCAGAATTGGGCCTATGCCTTTTCATTTCAAAAACCTGATTTGGCCAGCTGTGGTGGCTTACACCTGTAATCCCAGCACTTTGGGAGGCTGAGGTGGGTGGATCACCTGAGGTCAGGAGTTCAAGAACAGCCTGGCTAACATGGTGAAACCCCATCTCTACTAAAAATACAAAACATTAGCCAGGCGTGGTGGCATGCACCTGTAATTCCAGCTACTCAGGCTAAGGCAGGAGAATTGCTTGAACCTGGGAGACGGAGGTTGCAGTGAGCCAAGATCATACCATTGCACTCCAGCTTGGGCAACAAAAGTGAAACTCCATCAAAAAAAAAAAAAAGAAAAAAGAAAAAAGAAAGAAAAAAAACCCACCTGATTTGATTAGAACAAGAAGAATAGATTAGTCTCTCAAAGACGATTCATATCAACCAAGCTCAAAGAGATGGATGTGCATTTATTTACACAGAGACAGAGCCAGCTGTCAGGTAAACCAGCAACTCAAGTCATCCCCATCAAACATCCTCTTTCCTATGGCAGATGGACTCAATAGGGGTAGTTGTGTCCTTGGAATGATCATTCTCAAGGTCTATTATTGGTCAAGACTCTGGCTTCACCTCATATCCTGCCTTTCATGGATGGTGAAACCCCTTTCAATGTTCCACTCCTTCTTCTAGTACATAAATACCTCAGTCCCATTATTGACTAGTCCTGCTGTTCTGGGAGAATCTTTTCTTCTTCTTCTTTTTTTTTTTTTTTTTTTTTTGAGACTGAGTCTCTCTCTGTCGCTCAGGCTGGAGTGTCGTGGCACAATTTTGGCTCACTACAACCTCTGCTTCCTGGGTTCAAGAGATTCTCCCAAGTAGCTGGGACTACAGGCACATGCCACCACACCTGGCTAATTTTTGTATTTTTTGTTGAGACAGGGTTTCACCATGTTGGCCAGGCTAGTCTCGAACTCCTGACTTTGTGATCCACCTGCCTTGGCCTCCCAAAGTGCTGGGATTACAGGTGTCAGCCACCATGCCTGGCCTGAGAATCTTTTTAAGGTGACTGTGAATCTCCACCCTGATTTTTCGTATTTGGCTTTCATGTGTCAACTCTCATAGGACAGATCCTGTTCTGGCAGGAAAACGTGACTTGCTTAAGGGAATAGAAAGGACTTCACACGCACTGGCTTACCACACACCGTAGTGAGATACAGTATGGGATCATAGCTAAAGACGCGGGCTTCCCAGACTGAACCTTGGTTCGTCACTTACTCACTGTAAATTACATCATCCTCCTCTATTTCAGTTTCCTCTTCTTCAAAGTGAAGATAATAATAACACCTGCCCATAAAGTTTGTGGTGAGGATGAAATAAATTAATAAACAAGGCCCTTATCTCAGAGGCGTTTGAACCAGAGTGACTCCATCTTGAATAGGGGCTGGGTAAAATAAAGCTAAGAACTACTGGGCTGCATTCTTAGTCACAGGATGAGATAGGAGGTCAGCACAAGATATAGGTCACAAAGACCTTGCTGATAAAACAGGATACAGTAGAGAAGCTGGCCAAAACCCACCAAAACCAAGATGGCCATGAAAGTGACCTCTGCTCATCCTCACGGCTCATTATATGCTAATTATAATACATTAGCATGCTGAAAGACACTCCCACCAGCACCATGACAGTTTATAAATGCCAAGGCAACATCAGGAAGTTACACTCTGTGGTCTAAAAAGGGGAGGAACCCTCAGTTCCGGGAATTGCCCACCCCTTTCCAAGAAAACTCATGAATAATCCACCTTTTGTTTAGCATAGAATCAAGAAATGACCATAAGTATACTCAGTCAAACAGCCCACACCGCTGCCCTGCCTATAGAATAACTATTCTTTTATTCCTTTACTTTCCTGATAAACTTGCTTTCACTTTATGGACTTGCCCCAAATTCTCTCTTGCACAAGGTCCAAGAACCCTCTCTTGGGGTCTGGATTGGGACCCCTTTCTGGTAACATCCTAGAACAGTGCCTGACAATGTGTCTGCATCCTAGAAGGGTTTGCTGCTATTATGACCAGGCCCTACAATAAACCTTACCTACTTAATTCCCACCATGAGATAAGTCATATTCTTGTCTCCATTTACCAGTGAGAAAGCAGAAGCTTGGCAAGAAGATCAGATAGAGCTGGAACTGAAACCCAGTTCTCTCTGACCTTCTAGCAGGGGCTCCCTCCATCACCCCCATCCAGCAGATCCTTCACAGAGGCACAGTAGAACCACTTCTCTTCACCGGGTTGGGGTAGGTTGGGGGAAGTCTATTTTCATCACTGCAGCTCAGCCTTGAGCAAGAAAAAGGATCGTGTCCCCTGCTGGTGGCAAGACCAGAGGGAGCTGGTGAGAAGCATACATTGTGCAACAAGACCAGCTGCATGGCAGATGTGTCCACAGCTAAACATGACAGGAGTTTCATTTCCAGAGTCAAGAAAGAAGACCTATCCTGAAACATCCTCAGTGACCCTACCTGAGCAGATGGGGCGGGAGCAGCAGGGAGGCCCTGGCATTCCTATGCACTTTGATTTCCTCTCTGTTTCTTTGCTGCAGTAACTGCTGAAATGCAAAGGCTGCCGATCCCCACACACCGTTGGCTCTGATCACAAGTGTCCCTGATCCTCCTGGGCTTACTGAACATCTGACCATTGCCCTCAGAACAACTACCTATGCATGAAAGAGAAAATGGTAAGAGAAAGGGAGGGCCAGTGACTGTGAAAGTCAAGGCCACGAAGGGACACCCATCTGAAGTTGCTGAGTAGTTGGACAGGCCTGGATTTCAACTGTTGGTCACAGCCCTATGAGTTTGGGCAAGCCATTCAAACTCTCTGACTTCACTTTTCTCTTTTTCAAAATAAAAAAACTATTCCTGCCTAGCAGGCTCATTGTAAGGAAAGGCAAATGTATGTAAAATACTGGAACCATTATGATGGAAATTGCAAGAACCACCATTAGCCTAGGACAAGCAAAGACTAGGATGGGTGGAAATACTTTTTAAGAGACCAAGAAAGCAGAACACTTAAGTTTTTCTACATGCAAATAAACTGCAAAGGGAAAAGAAAAAAGGAACAAATATTCTTTAGTACCTATCATAGGCCAGAGATCCAATTATGCTCTTTCCCTAGATTGAATCTCACTATATCCCATGTGGTGGGTTTTATTACCCTCATTTTACAAATAATGAAAGTGATCATAGGGGAGGTTTTCCAAGACCACACAGCTAGACTGGCGTGGGGAGGCCAAGAACCAAGGGCTCTTTCTGATACATCATTCACTTTTGCCCCTGAAAGTGAAAATGCTGGGAACTCCAGGGAGAGCAATGTGTGACATTTATAGAGTGGCCCGAAGCAGCACTTCTCCATGCATCTTTGGGGAGGGTAAGTTTTGTTTTGTTTTGCTTTAATTAACTAATCTAGCACAGATTAGTTTGTAAACATTATTTGTAAAACATAATGAATTACTAGAAATGTAAAAATTTAAAGGACATACAAAATACACACAGACTCAGCCTTTTTATATTAGATTGAACACACATAACATGACTGTCAAATAGTTACAAAATTTCCCATGCACTCATTTGCTCTCAGTGTTTGTGCTCATCTCATTGTGGAATACACTTTGAGAACCACTGCCTTGGTGTTAAAGCCATCTGCAGATCCTGGAGAAAAACCTCAAAAAGTTGTCTGGGTTTGCATCCTTTCTCCAGGCAAAAATTGTGTAAAATCCCAAGGCTGCTGGGCTATTTTTTTCTTCAGAGCATCTCTCCCGAGTCTCACACCAGCTGTGTGGTCACAGATCATAGCCATCTCCCAGTAGTCTCTATCCAGCCTGGAACAGAACCTTGAATCTCAAGGTTTGTTTGAAGGATTCAAGCTCAGACTTCGTCCTCCCTTTTCCCTTCATCCCTGATTTCCTGCCGTTGCCTCCTCTCTAAACACCAGGCCATTGGCAAAATCTGCATGAACCAAGGAGAGGCTTTTTGGAAGGTACAGCTTTTTGTTTTTTGTTTGTTTGTTTGTTTGTTTGTTTTTTGAGAGAATTTCGCTCTTTTTGCCCAGGCTGGAGTGCAATGGCATGATCTCAGCTCACCGCAACCTCCGCCTCCTGGGTTCAAGTGATTCTCCTGCCTCAGCCTCCCAAGTAGCTGGGATTACAGGCATGCATCACCACGCCCGGCTAATTTTGTATTTTTTAGTAGAGACAGGGTTTCTCCATGTTGGCAGGCTGGTCTTGAACTCCTGACCTCAGGTGATCTGCCCGCCTCAGCCTCCCAAAGTGCTGGGATTATAGGCATAAGCCACCATGCCCGGCAGGTACAGCTTCTTTGAGCAGGTGGGAAAAGTAGGACAAGTAGATAAGAAAACCTGCAGTCACCACCTATTGTATGTTTTCAGGTTAGCCCTGAGCTGGTGTCAGCTTCACATACATTAGCTCACATTATCTTCATAGCCTCCCTATGAGGCTGGTTTTTTTTTTTTTTTTTTTTTTTTTTGAGATGGTGTCTGGCTCTGTCGTCCAGGCTGGAGTGCAGTAGCGCCATCTCAGCTCACTGCAACCTCCGCCTCCCAGGTTCAAGCAATTCTCCTGCCTCAGCCTCCCACGTATCTGGGATTACAGGCATGCGCCACCACACCCAGCTAATTTTTTGTATCTTTAGTAGAGATGGGGTTTCACCATGTTGGTCAGGCTGGTCTTGAACTCCTGACCTCAGGTGATCCACCCACCTCCACTTTCCGAAGTGCTGGGATTACAAGTGTGAGCCACCACAACAAGCCGAGGAAGTATTATTGTCTCAATTTTATATATAAGGAGATTGAATATCAGAGAAATGACAGAGCAGGGACTGGATCTTAGATCTGTCTGAGACTTTCCAACCTAAGCCCTTAACTCCTATCTAATGCTTAGCTGGAGGAAGCTGAAAGGCCTAGAGTCACCTCCACAGTCAACCTGGAGCACCATAACCTTAAGCAAACCCAGCCGGCAAGGTCCACAGTTCCTATTCCCACTTCAGTGCCCGGATGCCAACAAATTTGTCAATAGCACTTCTCCACTGCAGTCTCTACCATTTGTCCTTCCCCAGACTCCTGGCTCCATATTGGATAACGAAAGCAGAGGCCCAGGGCAATGGATTATGGATTCCAAAGCAGGTGTTTGCAAGTCTCCCCACTTTGTCTGTTCAGCCCAACTGTGTCCCTTCAGGGCTAACCCTGGGTTCTGAGTCCCACACAGACACTGTCTCTGACCACTTTCCCTCAAGTGGGACAGGACACCCTCCACTGCAGCAGTGACAGCTACCATTTGCTGGCCACACTCTGTATCTTTTCTCACTTCATTTTTACCATTGTCCTTTAAGGAGAGTACCATTACCCATATTCTCCACAGGAGGTAGCTGAGACCCAGAGAAGTTCAGTAACTTAGTCAAAGAGCTAGTAAAGAACAGTGATGGAATTTGAATGGAAGCCTCTCCATCACCAGGCACTGCCTCCCATCAAGTCATTGGATTTGCAAAGCATTCAGCACATGGAAAGGACTCAATAAATAAATGCTTGAGACTAACCAAAATCGGTAGTCAGCAAAATTGGAAGTGGGTTTAAAATGTTATGATACATCCATGTAACAGAATACTACTCAACCATGCAAAATGATGTTGTGGAAGAAGGTACTGATGCAGAAAGGTGTTCTTGATGTTGACTGAGTGAGGCAGCATACAAAAGGGTATGTATATTATAATCCTATTTGAGTACAGTCAGCCCTCTGTATCTGGGGGTTCTGCTCTGCATCCATGGATTCAACCAATCCCAGATCAAAAATATTTTAGAATCGGCTGGGCGTGGTGGCTCATTCCTTAATCCCAGCACTTTGGAAGGCCGAGGCAGGCAGATCACTTGAGTCCAGGAGTTCGAGACCAGCCTGGCCAACATGGAGAAACCCCGCCTCTACTAAAAATACAAAAATTAGGGGGGCTGCCAGGCACAATGGCTCATGCCTATAATCCTAGCATTTTGGGAGGCCGAGGCGGGTGGATCACCTGAGGTCAGGAGTTCGAGACCAGCCTGGCCAACATGGCAAAAGCCCATCTTTACTAAAAATAAAAAAATTAGCCGGGTGTGGTGGCGGACACCTGTAATCCCAGCTACTTGGGAGGCTGAGGAAGGAGAATCACTTGAACCCAGGAGGTGGAGATTGCAGTGAGCCGAGATCGCACCACTGCACTCCAGCCTGCGTGATGGGACCGAGACTCCATAAAAAAAAAAAAAAAAAATTAGCTGGGCATGGTGGCAGGCACCTGTAATCTCAGCTACTCGGGAGGCTGAGGCAGGGAGAATTCCGTGAACCTGGAAAGCGGAGGTGACAGTGAGCCAAGATCATGCCACTGCACTCAAGCCTGGGCAACAGAAAGAGACTCCATCTCAAAAAACAAAAAACAAAAAACAGGCCGGGCGCGGTGGCTCACGCCTGTAATCCCAGCACTTTGGGAGGCCGAGGCGGGTGGATCATGAGGTCAGGAGATCGAGACCATCCTGGCTAACAAGGTGAAACCCCGTCTCTACTAAAAATACAAAAAATTAGCCGGGCGCGGTGGCGGGCGCCTGTAGTCCCAGCTACTCGGGAGGCTGAGGCAGGAGAATGGCGTGAACCCGGGAAGCGGAGCTTGCAGTGAGCCGAGATTGCGCCACTGCACTCCAGCCTGGGCGACAGAGCGAGACTCCGTCTCAAAAAAAAAAAAAAAAAAAAAAAAAAAAAAAAAAAACAAAATTAAAATAAATAAATAAAAGGATGGCCTTGTTTGTATTAAACACATACAGAGTTTTTTGTCATTATTCCCTAAACAATATGGTATAACAACTATTTACATAGCATTTACATTGTATTAGGTATTAAAAGTAATCTAAAGATAATTTAAAGTATATGGGAGGATGCGCATGGGATATATGCAAATACTACACCATTTTATCTAGATAAGGAACTTGAATGTCTGTGGATTTTGGTCCTAGAACCAGTGCCTCATGGATTCGAAGGCATAATGGTGTATCTATTGTCTGGCCCTATGGATAGATGTGTACACACACACACACACACACACACACACACACACACTACAGAAAAATACACCAAAATGTCAACAACAGATTTATCTTTGTGATGAGATTGAGGGTGGTTTTTGTATTTTTCTTTTTGGATATCATAATTTCAAAAGTTTCAATAGTAACTCTGGCACATCTCATCTTGGATGATCACACCTAAACACCACTGGGAGACTGCACAGAAAGAGGGTGTGTGACAAGGATAACAGATTGTTTTATTTTGCCTTTTTAAAAAAATGTCTCATGAGTGATTTCAGTGTATCTCAGTCTTTTGTGCCACCAATCTAGAACACTATTAATTCCAAGAGTCCAGTGATTGAAATGTGGAAGGAATTAGGGCTTCCCAAAACCAGGATTTTTGAAGATACTAACTAGATTTGCTCAATGTCACTCATTGTTTGTTTCTGTTGGATGCTTGGGAGCCTGTTTATTTACGGTGAATCCATTTTCCTGGGCAGCTGACAATGTGGGGGAAAAACAGAGAAACAGGCCACGAGAGCTCTGTGCGCTTCATTATCCTTGATGTCACTACTGTGAAAGGCTTAGGGGTCCAGAAGTACGCAGTTGTCTCAGACCCCAAGCTGAAGTAAAAGAGGCATATTCATTGAGTGTAAGGGATACCCCTGTGGCTGCACAGCGGAACTCATCACTTTTTCAACCTCCCCGGCCTTCCAGCCAGGCTCTCAGTTACCAGCAGATGCAGACATGCGGAAGGTCTGTCTCTCGCTGAGCTTCCTGAGCATTTTTTTTTAACTTTTTTTTTTTTTTTTTTTTCGAGATGGTGTCTCACTCTGTCACCCAGGCTGGAGTGCAATGGCACAATCTCAGCTCACTGCAACCTCCACCTCCCAGATTCAAGCGATTCTCCTGCCTCAGCCTCCTGAGTAGCTGGGATCACAGGCATGCCCCACCACGCCTGGCTAATTTTTGTATTTTTAGTAGAGACGGGGTTTCACCATGTTGGCCGGGCTGGTCTCAAACTCCTGACCTCATGATCCACCCCCCTTAGCCTCCCAAAGTGCTGGGATTACAGGCGTGAGCCACCGTGCCTGGCTGCTTCTTGAGCATTTTGCAAGGTAATTTTGTTTTTGGAATCCTAGGTTGGCCATCAGGAAAACAGAACACTAGGAAGAGCACAGCTACTGTCATCAGAAACACCTGGATTGACATTTCCACTCTCACGGACTAGCTGTATGACCGTGGACCAGCTTCTTATCCTCTTCTGAATTTCATGTCCTCCCTGTAATGTGGGGATAACAATGTGTTGTTGCAACTCCTAAGTGAGATAATCTGCGTAAGATGCTTTAGCTTCCCTCTGCTGCAGCCTGATATCAGTAGGTTTTCAATATGTGGCCGTTACTGTCCCATGAGCTGGTTTTCAGCCTGACTGCCTAAGGTAGGAAATGCCGTTGGAATTCTTATTAACTGGGTTCTTGACAAGCAGGAGGTTGTAGTCATAGGTGGAGATGCTGTGGCTTAGCCCAGAGTTAAGAGACAGCTCAGGTCGGGCGCGGTGGCTCACGCCTGTAATCCCAGCACTTTGGGAGGCTGAGGTGGGCGGATCATGAGGTCAGGAGTTCGAGACCAGCCTGGTCAACACGGTGAAACCCCATCTCTACAAAAAATACAAAAATTAGCCAGATGTGGTGGCGCGTGCCTGTAATCCCAGCTACTTGGGCAGTTGAGGCATGATAATTGCTTGAACCCAGGAGGAGGAGCTTGCCGTGAGCCGAGATCGTGCCACTGCACTCCAGCCTGGATGACAAAGTCCGACTCCATCTCCAAAAACAAAACAAAAGAGACAACTCAAACTAAAGCCACTTTTGAGGAATACCTCCTTGTTAACCAAGTACAACATAGTTACCATAAAAACTATCTGGCTAGATAATAGAGATACTCAACTTTTGTATCCTACCTTTCTCAGTCAACATCAAGAACATCTTCATGTTGGGACCCACTCTTCTACATTATTTTGCATGGTTGAGACACCACACAGTCGCAGGACATGAAGAAAAACAAAGGCAAAATAAAACACCATGTCATACTTGTTGTCACATCCTCTCTCCACGCAGCCCTTCTGATCATGCCCTGGTATGTGCTTCTGAGACTAGATAGGCCAGCGGTGGCTCAAACACCCTGAGACAGTCCGAACTCAGCTGTGCGCCCACCCCTCTGCCTCAGCCCTTATTCTGCCAACTCAGGAATAGCACAGACTGCTTTGACCAGACTTAACGCAGTCACCTTGGAACACAGTGTGAGGCGGAGGCCGCGGGACAGAGTGAAACCATGTTCTAAAATACAGCAGATTTTTAAAGAACAGCCAGGCAGGGTCGAAGGCAGGGAGAGGGGCTGGTCAGGAAATGCCAGTTTAAAGTTAGCTCTGACCTATTAATCAGCAGTGGGACAATGATGCAGTGGGGGGCGGGAAAGCTGGACATGTGCTCGCGCCAGATTTATGGGCCCAGAACAAAGGATGGCCTGCTCATTCAGAGAGTCTCTTTCCCTTTTCCTCTGGCAAAATGAGGACATTGTTTGATAAGCCAAAAAGAACAAATATTCCAAAGACTGAGGTCATTTCCAGAGATGCAACCAGTCCTGATGGGGATCCATACACCCTGGGGCGAAGACGAATCCTGCAGGGGGTTCTCGGACCAGCGCAGTGGGTGCATGTCATGAAAGAGAAACCACAGGCCCCTCTCCTGCGCTCTCGAAGAAGCTGGGGCCACCTGCCTGAGGCCACTCTGAAGGTCTCTGAACTGCTCAGCCGAGCCCCTTGGGATAAGTCCAGAAGCTTTTCCATGCAGACTGAACACATAATCCCTGCCTCCACCTAGGCTCTGCAGGCTTTTCTGGGAAGGTCTTCCTAAGCATGGACTGCCTAGGATACTGTTGATTTCAGCTTCCTCTCCATCCAGAAGAGAGTCTTGTTTCAACAGCTGGTCTCATGTCATCAGATTAGGAGAGAAGGGGAAAGTGATTAGGAAGGAAAGAAAAGAGAAAGTGCTCAGCCAGGCAGCTGGATTACAAAAGAAGCCAACCTCGTGGAGAGGAGATATTGACTCTGCTTCTCAGAATCTTTCAGAGTTTGGGAACTATCTGTGACTTCCCAGCCCCTCCTTTCTTGGGGTTGCCACATTTCACCAGGCGCTGGTTGCCTTGTACCTGGCTGGACCTTCCAGAGGAGTCACCTTGACTCCTGTTTTGCTTTCCTCCAACCCAATATCCACACAGCCCACAGCCAATTGGGATGAACTTTCTCTTTTTTTTTTTTTTTTTTGAGACGGAGTCTCGCACTGGAGTGCAGTGGCGCAATCTTGGCTCAGTGCAGCCTCCGCCTCCCAGGTTCAGGTGATTCTCCTGCCTCAGCCTCCCAAATAGCTGGGATTACAGGCACCTGCCACCACTCCTGGCTAATTTTTTGTATTTTTAGTAGAGACGGGATTTCACTATGTTGGCCAGGCTGGTCTTGAACTCCTGACCATGTGGTCCGCCCGCCTCTGCCTCCCAAATTGCTGGGATTACAGGCGTGAACCACCACACCCAGCCCTTGGGATGAACTTTCTAATCTAGATATCTAACCATCTCCCTCCTGGCTAAAAAACATTTAATTGCTCTCTAATGTCTTCAGAAAAGATGTGCAGAAACCTCAGCCTGACAACAGGTCCTTCATGTTGTGGCCACATCTGTCTTTCCAGCTCGTGTGCCATCTCTTCCCAGCCCTCTCTGCAGCCTTTAGACCCATAGAATTATTTTCTCCTCCGTAAACATGACGTGTCCCTCCTGGAAAAATTCTGGCCGTTCTTTAAGACCTAAGTTCCAATGTTATGTCCTCTGTGGGAATGACCTACTGTACGTTGCTAACCAACTCACACACTGGGTGTGTTCTCCACTTCTTTGCCTGGGGTCCGATGCATGTGTTCACTCTGCTAATAATAATAATAATAATAGCATAGCACTTATCATAGGGCCTACACTAGTTAATTGAGGGGTCAGTTGAAGGCATGAATTCATTGAATGACTGCCTGAATGAATGAATGATGATCTATTAGACATGGTTAGCCCTAAGGCATGTGAAGGCCTATGCAAATGTTTTCTGTGGGGTCCCTGTATATATAAATAATTTGAGTTACCTAAAATCAATCTTTAAGCAGCATTCTGATCACCCAACTTCATGTGATACTGCAAAAGAAATACTCTCTGGCTGGAAGTAAAGATCCTTTCTCCCAGTAGCCCTTTTGGAATTGGGCCTGGTCAGGGGTCCCTGAGACAATCTCATAGGTGTAAACCTTAGAGGTCTCCTAGGGCATCTGGTCGACCCCCTGTACTAAGAAGCGAATTGAAGAGCATTCCAAAGGAGAGAAAACAGGGACAGGGGCTGACATGGTGGAGGTTGGGCCTAGAGCACCCTGTCTGGTTGGCACTGCTGGCCTTGGCCAGTCTTGGTCACTGGAAGGGCTTAGAAGATGTTAAGGACAGCATTCTACAGTACAAGACCCCTTCAAGACCAGCCTGGTCAACATGATGAAACCCTGTATCTACCAAAATTACAAAAACTAGCCAGGTATGGTGGCACACGCCTGTAATCCCAGCTACATGGGAGGCTGAGGCACAAGAGTCACTCAAACCTAGGAGGCAGAAGTTGCAGTGAGCCGAGATCGTGCCACTGCACTCCAGCCTGGGTGACAAAGCAAGACTCTGTCTCAAGAAAAAAAATTAAATAAATAAATAAAGTGCAAGACACCTGAGGCCCAGGACCTAAGGCAGGTGCTCCGCTTGCCTGGGTGGTACTGCTCCCAGATAACCATGTGATTATATACTTCATCATTCAACAAACATTTACTGAGCTCCTACTATGGACTAGGTACTGTATTAGAAGCTGAAGTCACATATTCATAGTTATTTATTACTATGAGTTAACATGTTATCTCTGCCAAGCAGTGAACTTAATAATAACACAATGAGACCTGCACAGTACAGGAGCGTAGTTATCATCTGGCCCATTAGGAAACTGAGCCAGAGAGGGGCTGTCATACATTCCATGAGCATCTACCACATGCCTACTCCTGGGTGTGGTTAGAAACGCAGCAAAGAGGTTTCTGAAAGAAAGCAAAAGACAATCCATTGATTTCACTTCCAAAAATAAACCAAATCGTGAGGAGAGAAAGAATAATGACTTAAAGCCTATTCCGAGGTTCAACAGATGATGGAAATAATGACTAAAATCATCCAAATGACTTTATACTGGGCTTTCAGTGATGGCAGCAGCAAAGCCGGCTGCTCAAGCCTGTCAGAGTAGAGCTGTGGAGACATGCAGCCACACAAGGGCCAGAAAGGACAATGGCTTCAACTTCTCTCCCTGAGCCTCTATTTCCCCATCTGTAGACCAGCCCTTCGCATGTTGATCAGGACACCCATGTGTTGTTGTGAGATTACAATGATACTAAAGATCATGAACAACCTGTATGCACTTAAAGCGCCTGCCCTGGGTTGCTCAGTAATAACGAAGAGGATGAAGGGTTAGTGTGTGGCTTTCTCTCCTAACCAAAAAAAAAAAAAAAAAAAGGGATGGGTTTCCGCCATGTGGTTTTTTATGAAAGGAGAGGAAAGCAAGAGAAGAAATACATCTCTCCTCAGACTAACTCTGAAGCTTTCTAGGGTTAACACCCCACCAGCCTTCTCGATTTTACCCTGTGCTCACTGTGCACTTGTATAGACATATGCACACACACAAACACAAATCCCCCCACAGCCTGACCCCTGATCATCCCAACCTCTAAGTCATGATTCTCAACCCAGTGCAATTTTGTCCCCCACAAAACATTTGGCAGCGTCTGGAGACATTTTAGGTTGTCACACCTAAGGGGCAGAGAGGGCGGCTTGTTACTGGCATTAGTAGGTAGAGGCCAGGGATACCACTAAACATCCTATAATGTCCAGGACAGTCCTTACAACAATGAATTATTCAGCCAAAACACTCAATAGTGCCGAGGTTGGAAAACTCCACTGTAAGCCTTTGTTTATGCTGTTCCTTCTATGAAAAGTGTTCTCTTCATTGCTCTTCTTATTTAAATCCGGCCGGGTGCGATGGCTCATACCTGTAATCCTAGCACTTTGGGAGGCTGAGGTGGGTGGATCACCTCAGGTCAGGAGTTCGAGACCAGCATGACCAACATGGTGAAACCCCGTCTCTACTAAAAATACAAAAAAAAATTAGCCAGGTGTGGTGGCGGGCACCTGCAGTCCCAGCTACTCAGGAGACTGAGGCAGGAGACTTGCTTGAACCCAGGAGGCGGAGGTTGCAGTGAGAGTGAGCTGAGATCATGCCACTATACTCCAGCCTAGGCAGCAAGAGCAAAACTCCATCTCAAAAAAAAAAAAAAAAAAAAAAAAGAAAAAAAATTCTACCCCTCCAGAGAAAGGAAATACACCCTCACATGCTGCTGGAGTATATATAAGCCAATATAACCTTTTTGATAATTTGGCCAGAGTTAACAGAATTATAAACATCCATACCCTTGGAACAAGTCATTTCATTGCTCACACAAAGTCCTATGCACAAGGATGTTTATTGCAGCACTGTTTGTCATAAGAAAAGACTAAACACAACCTAACTCATCCCTTTAGGAGGGGTCAGTAGCTTTAAATTATAAAGCTTGTATACAAAACAATTATCTGCAAGCCTTTAAAAGGAGTGAGGTCATTTCAAAGGGGTCAATAGGGAAAAATCGCTGAGATACACTGTTGAACAAAAATAGCAAGGTACAGGACAGCCTTATTAATATGTACCATTTGGTGAATGAGTAAAAGGAATATTCATACATATATTTTTATAAATATATATCTAGAAAATATCTATAAGCCTGTATAAAAAAAGTGTTAATAGTGGTTGCCTTTGGGGAGAACTTGGTCATGACAATTAGAAGATTTAGTTGTAATTTTATTATCCTTCAGACTCTTTGAATTTTTTAAACCATATTCATGCATTTCTTTTTGATTGAGGAAAAAAGATTTCATTAAAAAACGTTTGTGCTTGCTCCAGCAGCACATTTATTAAAATGAGAACAATACAGAGAAGATTAGCATGGCCCCTTTGTAAGGATGACATGCAAATTTGTGAAGCGTCCCATATTTTGGGGGCTTAATTCCTGGGTGATGAAGTAATCTGTAAGACAAACCCCCATGACATGAGTTTACCTACATTAACTAACTTTCAAATGTACCCCCAAACCTAAAATAAAACTAAAACAAAAATAGGAATATATCTTTATCATCTTGGATTAGGTAAGGATTTCTTTAATAGTACACAAAAAGAACTAACCCTTAAAAAATCGACATACTGGTTTTTGTTAAAATTGAGAACTTCTTCCATAGAAAGAGACCATGAACAGTAAATGGTTGACCCACATACTCGGAGAAGAGATTCACAGTCCATAAATCCAACAAAGGTCTTGCATTCATAATATATAAAAATAGTCAATATAATTTTTGAAAGTGAGCAAAAGACTTGAACAGACACTTTACAAAAAGGATATTCAAATGGCTAACAATCATATGGAATGATGCTCAAAATCATTAGTCACCAAGAAAATGCAAAATAAAACCATGATAGAATATCTCTCCTCTCCTGCCAGAATAGCTAAAATTAAAAAGGCTAAAAGTACCCTCTATATTCATTTCTCATACATTGCTGGTAGAAAAATAAAAAGGTACAACTACTTTGAAAGTTCTTTGACAGCATCTACAAAAGCTGAACCTTCCAACCTTACCTCTATAAACCTTCCCTGATTTACACAGGTTTTCCTTCTGATAACCCCTCTAATCTATGTATGTGTTTGCTACCGTTTAAAATCTGCTGTAAATTCCCAAACTTTCATTGTTCTATTTAACTGGGATTTGCTGAGCACTTACTCTAAATCAGACACTTGGGAATCTTACTGGGATTAAAGAGAGGACCTATTTTATAGATCCTTTCCTGCGGAAGCTCGTAGACCAGATGGAGTTGAAGATATACATACAAAATAAGAGATAGGCTGGGCACGGTGGCTCACGCCTGTAATCCCAACACTTCGGGAGACCGAGGCATGTGGATCACCTGAGGTCAGGAGTTCAAGACCAGACTGGCCAACATGGTGAAACCCTGTCTCTACTAAGAACACAGAAATTATCTGGGTTTGGTGGCGGGTGCCTGTAATCCCAGCTACTCAGGAGGCTGAGGCAGGAGAATCACTTGAACCTGGGAGCGAGGGGTTTCAGTGAGCCAAGATCGCACCACTGCACTCCAGCCTGGGCGACAGAGCAACACTCCGTCTCAAAAAAATCAAAAAAAAAAACAACAAAACACTAAGAGACAAACACCTCTTTAAACTAACCTTCTCTTCCAAACTAACTTCTACTTTTCGATCCCTGTGGCACACTTCTTTCATATTCTCACAGTGCCTGAATCTACAATGACCCAAAGTAGAAACTGAGTAAAACTCTGTTGAACCAATCCAGTTGATGTATATTCACAGATAGCAAGAAAGATTTGGGCTAGGTGAAAAGAATAGATTTTGGTCACTGACAGCTTCAGTAAGGCTTATTTAAAACCTAGCCCCACACTGACCAAAATTTTGTATCTATTAGCTAATTCCATTCTCACAGCAACCTGTGGAGCAGGTGCTATTATCGCCATTTGGCAGATGAGAAGCTTGAGGTCAAGACAGATTATGTTATTTGAAGACAGATTATGTTATTTGCCAAGGTCATATGCTCAGGAACTAGCAAGGCTGGGAACCAAACTCCAGCCAAACTCTCATTTTAAATTTTGGTTCTTGCTACTACATCACATGCATCAGAAACAGCCTAATACCACTCCAGAGAGGCGTGAATCTAAATTTCTCTCTGGCTTTGGATTTTTACAGGTGTTTTTATTCCCCTGAAATACTTGTGCAGCCCCATATTTTATTCTCTTCTCCTGTCCTCCCTTCTCATGGGCAGCACCTCTTCCTCCTTCTTTAAATCTCTGCTTTAATTTTAGTCTTTCCAGAAGGCCTTTTCTGATATCCTGGACAGGTTTCAGTGCCATGGCTGTGAACGACCCGAGCACCTTGTATCTTTCACAACCTATGATGTCATTAATTGTTTAAAGGTGGCTTCCCCTCTAGGCTGTGAACTGCTATCTTTCCTGTTCATTGCTGAATTCCCAATGCTTTGCACATCATAGTGTTTCATTATACATTATTGAATGAATGTAATAATTCATTCAATTATGTAATTATTCATTCAATTACTTTATATTCATAGAAAGTAAAAGCATTCTTGCAGGTCTAAGTTTGACCCTATTTTCTCCAATTCTGCCTATCAAGCAGTAGTAACGCAAGGTCAAAAAGGGAATAACTATATAGTGAGATGGATTAAGACTCATAGGGCCTTATCCTATTCTGAGACTTATTTAGTGAGAACTTTCCTCTCCTTTATGTAATTCAGCTCTACCAATTTTACAATAGCAGTATTATACTAGATTGCTTCGATACTCATGCCTGGCACCACCTTGCTCTGTTACTCTCAAAAGACTTGGCCATGCCCACAATTGACTTATGCTAGGAAGTCAGTTTTGCCTACATCCACCTGCATTCCCAGTTATGAGAGGTCAACTCCTATGAGCTTTGTATGGTTCAGTGGATATTTCTGTGGCTGGAAGGTGATGCATGGTGATGAAAGTAAAACTCATGAATGACAAGCATATGACCACTAACAATGTCCTGGTATGCTTTCTTATAATTTTCAGTGGTTCTGAGCTATTTTCATTTAGTGCTGCCTGATCTGCCACATCAACTTTGGTCCAGCTGCTCCTGGAAACCCCAAATTTTGCATGGTGTTGCAGTTTTGAAAAAAGTTCTCTGGGAAAAACAATTAGAATTACATTATTGGCATTCCATTAAAAATCTGCCTTGTAAATAATTAAGGATGCCAGAGGCCATATGGCCTCATCCAGTACAGCATCACTGTCGGTGGTCATGCAATTCATGCTTAACAGCCTCTAATTATGGAGATCTCACTACCTGCGAGACAGCGTATTCCGTATCTCACAGTCTTAATTGGGAGAAAGTTGTTTGTTATTTTAGTAAAAATCTGCCATGCTGCAACTTTCTCCCATTGGACTGATTCTGTCTTCTTCATAGATGTCTAATCCTCTTCCATATGACAACCATTACATATAATGAAGGATGAAAGGAATGAATAGAATTGCTATGTAAAAATTGAAAACTTTAATAAGCAAAAACGATTAACCAAAACAAACAAGCAAATGACCATGAAGAAGTTTAATTGACACACTGGGGGAAAAATGTATGTGTAACATATATAAAAGATAAAATGTCATTACACTTACAAAAAACTTACACAAATTTATTCAACAGAAAAATGGGCAAAAAGTATTAACTGGAAATTCATAAATTAAGAAATACAATGGTAGGCCGAGCATGGTGGCTCATGCCTGTAACTCCCACACTTTGGGAGGCCAAGGCGGGTGGGTCATTTGAGGTCAGGAGTTCAAAACCAGCCTGGCCAACATGGTGAAACCCCACCTCTACTAAAAATATAAAAATTAGCCAGGCGTTGTTGCAGGTGCCTGTAATCCCAGCTACTCGGGAGGCTGAGGCAGGAGAATCGCTTGAACCTGGGAGGCAGAGGTTGCAGTGACCCGAGATCCTACCCTGGAACTCCAGCCTGGACGACAGAGTGAGATTCTGTCTCAATAAATAAATAAATAAGAAATACAATGGTACTAAACATATAAAAGAATATTCAGGCTGGTGTGCAGTGGCTCACGCCTTTAATCCCAACATTTTGGGAAGCCAAGGCAGGCAGATCACCTGAGGTCAGGAGTTCGAGACCAGCCTGACCAACATGGTGAAACCACGTCTCTACTAAAAATACAAAAATTAGCTGGGTGTGGTGGCATGCGCCTGTAATCCCAGCTACCCAGGAGGCTGAGGCAGGAGACTTGCTGGAACCTGGGAGGCAGAGGCTATAGTGAGCCAAGATCATAGCACTGTACTCCAGCCTGGGCGACAGGGCAAGACTCTGTCAAAAAATATATATATATATATATTCAAATGCACCAAGGTGCTATAAAAATATAAATAAAAACAAGATCATCACAGTGTGCAAATTGATTTAATCTTTCTGGAGGACAGTTTAATAACATCAAAATTTTAATTGTGTAACTATTAAATCCAGAAGTTTTACTCCTAGGAATTTATCCTAAGATAACTAGCCAAATGAACAATGATGTAAGTTAAGGATATTGATCTAATTGTTCACTTGTAATAGCAAAAATATTGAACAGTTAAATTTCTTTTTTGGGGGGGTGGGGGTGGGGATTGGAGTCTCACTCTGTTGCCCAGGCTGGAGTACAGTGGCGCAATCTTGGCTCACTGCAGCTTCCGCCTCCCAAGTTCAAACAATTCTCCTGCCTCAGCCTCCCGTGGAGCTAGGATTACAGATGTGAGCCACCACAACTGGCTAATTTTTGCATTTTTAGTAGAGATGAGGTTTCACCACGTTGGCCAGGCTGGTCTCGAACTCCTGACTTCAGGTGATCCACCTACCTCAGCCTCCCAACATGCTGGGATTATAGGCAGGAGCCACCCAACAGTTAAATTTCTATTAATAGGAAATTGGTTATATAAATTATGGTCAAAACATGCAATGAAATTCTAAATAGCTATTAAATGTGATAACCTAGTTGACACTGAAATATGTCCATTACATAATGTTGAGTAATTAAAAAATTAATATTACACCTTCTGTATTTATCTGCTTTCACACTGCTGATAAAGACACACCCGAGACTGGACAATTTATAAAAGAAAGAGGTTTAATGGACTTAACAGTTCCACATGGCTGGGGGACCTCACAATCATAGCGGAAGGCAAGGAGGAGCAAGTCACATCTTACAGCAAGTCACATAGCAGCAGGCAAAGAGAGAGCTTGTGCAGGGAAACTCCCGTTTTTAAAATCATCAGGTCTCGTGAGACTCATTCATTATCATAAGAACAGTGCAGGAAAGATCTGCCCCCATAATTCAATCACCTCCCATCTGGTTCCTCCCACAACATGTGGGAATTGTGGGAGTTACAATTCAAGATGGCATTTGGGTGGGGACACTGCCAAACCATATCACCTTTTATGTAAAATTATATGTATATTGTATGTGCATGTATTTGCAGTGTGCTGTCTAGAGCAATGTTCATCAAGATATCAGTAATATTCCTCTTATATAATACAATTCAAGATAATTGTTTTTTCTTCTTTACTTTTTTTTTTTTTTTTTTTTTGAGATGGAGTCTTACTCTGTCAGCCAGGCTGGAGTGCAGTGGTATGATCTTGGTTCACTGCAACCT
Source organism: Homo sapiens (assembly GCF_000001405.40). Taxonomy (NCBI): domain Eukaryota; kingdom Metazoa; phylum Chordata; class Mammalia; order Primates; family Hominidae; genus Homo; species Homo sapiens. The sequence continues at coordinate 107,657,886 of NC_000009.12, read as the reverse complement.
CTGCCTCTCAAGTTCAAGCAATTCTTCTGCCTCAGCCTCCCGAGTAGCTGGGACTACAGGTGTGCACCACCATGTCCAGCTAATTTTTGTATTTTTTGTAGAGACTAGGTTTCACCATGTTGGTCAGACTGGTATCAAGCTCCTGACCTCGTGATCTGCCCACCTCGGCCTCCCAAGGTGCTGTGATTACAGGCGTGAGCCACTGAGCCCAGCCTCTTCTTTACCTTTTTTTCGTTGTGTTCACCTTTTTGTATTATCTATAATTTTATAATTTAAAAAATAACAAAGATATTTTTACTGTAAAACACAAATACTGAAAAATGCTTTTCACGTCCCTTCTGAGTCTTCTCTAAATTAAGGCTTCCTGGCACATTCAAAATTTCTCCAAATGAAATGAACTGGAGTCCTTCAGCATCCTACATTCTCTCCTCAAAAGCACCTTCTCCCACCCAGGTAATTTTCACCCCCTCAGAGTACAGTAGCCAGAATGGAACCCAGTGATGTGGATATGGTCTCAGCAGCCCAGAGTAGAAGGGAGCACTCACCAAGCAGCCAATAGTGTGACTAGCATTGATGGAGGCACACCCCACTGCTGATTCTTATTGAGCTCCCTGGTCTTTTTCACACCTCGTGGTGTTGAAGTCACTGGGTTCCCACCATGTGTTAATGCTATTGTTTACTTGAGCCCAGATGCAGAAATTGACATCAATCTCTATTGATATCTCATCAGCCTAGATTGGGCTTATCTTTTCAGCCTCTGAAGAGCTTTGTAGAACCTGTCTTCCAAACAGCACCTTCACTGTTCCCTTAGACTATCAGGAACTCTAAAATGACATGGTCAATTTCTCCCAAGGTTAACCCAGTTCCTCCTTGCAAGATAAATTTATTTCTGTTCCTCTAGTTGCATCCTCTGTGTTCTGGGAGATGAAATGATCTATGTTACACATCAATAGTGTCTATTTTCTCTAATCATTATTGGTAAGAGTATAAGTCAAAACAGCTTCTGGAAGGCAATTGGAGAATGTTTATAAAAATGTTAAATGTAAATAATCTTTAACACCAAAATTACCCTTCTCTCTATATATATTTTTATGCACTGTTTTATATAATTTGACTTTCAGGATGACTTCCTAGGAGGTGGTGGGCTGTATTTGGCTCATGGGCAATAGTTTGCCAACTCCTGATCTACACCTATGTCAAGTGCATTTTTCTTTCCCTACTTGCTGCTTGCCATCTGTTGCGTATACTTTGCATCAGTTAGTTTTTGCTGTATAACAAATAATCCCAAAACTTAGCGTTCAACACAACAACTGTTTATTTGTGTATGATTCTGAGAGTCAACAGTTTGAGTGGGGATCAGCTGTGACAGCTCATGTATTCCATGTGGAATCAACTGGGCCCCCTCATTTACCTGAGATCTGCTGGCCATCAGCAGCCTCAGACATCTGGCTTTCAGCAGGGTGATGGAAGCAACTGGGCTATGTGTCTCTTGTCATCCAGCAGGCTGCCCAGGGCTTATTCATGTGCTGGTGGTTGCAGTGTAACCAAGGGCATCAGGAGAAGGCAATTCTCAACCTGAAGCATTTTTCAAGCCTCTGACTGCATCACATTTGCTACTCTCTTACTGACCAAATAAGTCACATGTTGGAATCATGGCCAAGGCAAGATGGTAGGGCTGGAGAAATAGATGTCACCTCCTGATGAGAGGAATTGCTGTTACATCACACAGGGATATACATACAGGGTGGGGAATAATTTGTGACCATTTTTGCAATCAGACTAATTCCATCAACAATTTCACCTCAGGTCCTTTCACCTTCCAGGAGCTCTGTCAGGCATCTCCTGCTCAGACAAGTGGCCATCCTGCACAGAGGACCGTTCCCCCTCTCCTTGAGATGCTCCTTGGTTGATATCTTTTTGGCCAAGAAGCACTAACCTCAATGCATCTTTTTCAGATACAGAACCGTAATTCTTTTCCTCACCTGCAGCCAATTATTTCTTAACCAGGAAAAGCAATTTGAGCAGCTCAAAGACTCCTCAAAATATTTCTCCACTCTCTGATTTCCCACTTCAAAACTTGTATTTAAATTATTAGCCTGCATTACTTCCCATTCACTGAATTTTCCCTGCTCTCCATGTGTTCATTTTCAGCCCTTTTAATAAATGAAGATTATAAAACTGGGACAGTTCCCATGATAACACATTGGTTTCTTTCAACCTCTTTACTCTCACATGCCGAGGGAACCACCCAGTCAACTGAGGCTCGTTATAATCCTGTCTGTGAAGAGAGATCATGCCTGCTTCACTCACCCTCCTTCCAAAATTGCCTTTCTCTCTCTGTGTGTGTATATATATCTGTATATATATATACATTTTTTTGAGATGGAATCTCACTCTGTTGCCCAGGCTGGAGTGCAGTGGTACAACCTCTGCCTCCGGGGTTCAAGTGATTCTCCTGCCTCAGCCTCCTGAGTAGCTGGGACTACAGGTGCACACCACCACTCCTGGCTAATTTTTGTATTTTTAGTAGAGACAGGGTTTCACCATGTTGGCCAGGATGGTCTCAATCTCCTGACCTCATGATCCACCCACCTCGTCCTCCCAAAGTGTTGGGATTACAGGCCTGAGCCACCACGCCCAGCCCTCTCTATATATTTCTTATTCACCTTCCTTCCCCCAACACCATATATGACATCACTGGCAGTCTTTAAAAGAAAAGACAAATCTTGCTCAACAACCATCATTGATAGAGATATTGCCGGACAGCTGAAGTGTGAGGAAAGCACTACATGTAGAGCCGGAAGGTCCAATCAGGTTCAGAACCAGTGTCCACCGCTATCCATGCAAGCAAACAGAATAATATAGAGAACAATAGAGTGCTCCATAAATGTTCGTTCATTCAAGTTTGTCCGCCATTGTATGCAAAGCACTGTAGAAGGGGCCATACAAGGTTCAGAGATCAGTGAGACCCAGCAGGGAGCTCATAATATGGTGGTGAGTGAAAGCTCACAGCCCTATTTAAATTCTCAAATAAAACAATGATATAAGAAGAAAGAAACTCTTAAACATGCCTCAACTTCTGAGCTTAATAAGGAGAAAATGCATAACAATGACAATGATGTCAAATTCATTCTGTCATCCAGACCATCCCCGACTTTAGCCCCAACCCAAGTCCTGACTTGAGTCCTACGGAATAAACACTCCCATGTCAGTCCACTGAGAGTATGACTTTCCTGCATTTCATCCTTGATAGGCAATATCTCAAAAAGGGCTTGGAAAGTTCAGCTCATCCAAGGAGCAGAGAAAACTAGATAATGAGATTATGGAGTCACAAATGACAACTACTTTCATGAGAGAATATCTGGATAAAGAAAAATAGGCCAGGTGGGGTGGCTCATGTCTGTAATCCCAGCACTTTGAGAGGCTGAGGCAGGCAGATCACTTGAGGCCAGGAGTTCAAGACCAGCCTGGCTAACATGGCGAAACCCAATCTCTACTAAAAATATAAAAACTAGCTGGGCATGGTAGTGAACGCCTGTAATCCCAGCTACTGGGAAGGCTGAGGCACAAGAATCGCTGGAACCCAGGAGGTGGAGGTTGCAGTGAGCCAAGACCGTACCACTGCACTCCAGCCTGGGCAACAGAGCAAGGCTCTGTCTCAAAAAACAAACAAACAAACAAAAAAAAGTGCAGAGAGCAAAGGCGACTATCTTTTTACAAGAAATACAGGCAGTTTCATTTAGGCGAATATCACTTAGTTGTTTCTTTTCATTTCTGAAAAAAAAAATGACAAGAGAAAATTAAAAATAGAGAGTCAGTTTAAATTAGGGTCAATGGTAAACCCAACCTGTTATTTGGGTGAATATAAGCAAATTAACTTAAGCTCTCTGAACTTGGAATGTTTATAAAATGGGGATAATTGTGTTTATAATCTCTGATAATATATCAACACCTAGTCAAGAGCACTACAAAAATAAGCAAATAAATGACAAATGTACTCTACTTCTTGCTCGTTAGTATCCCCAGAGTGGTCTTTAGGAGGAAGAGAGAATGAATTCTGTGCCTAAGATGAGCCAGGTGCTTTCCATGGAACAATCCCATTTCTCAACTCTATTTATCTTCAGTTTTCCAGACTAGGAACACGAGGGTCAGAGAAGTTAGTCTACTGAACCAAGATCACAGCGCTACTAAGTGGCAGGTCTTCCTGACTCCAAAACTAATGCTCTAAGTCACTCTCCAAATAGTGCTAACTATAGCACAGGCTAGAACAGAATATGGCTTTGGTGCCCCATGGGGAATGTTTATCCTGCAGAGACACCTGGATTAGAGGTTGGCTGGCTGTCCCCAGAGAAGGGAATCTGGCAGGGCTGGTGGAAGTGTCTGGCAGGCACCCTGGGGAGCTGTGTTCAGTCTGGCCTCATGCAGTCTGCACCGATGAGCAGGAAGAGGGTGTAGCACAGGCTGTAATGAAGTCCACAGATGCTGGAGGCGTATTGTAAACACCAGTGGGCATGAGTGACCAGGAGGGTGGAGGAACAAGGAGGCTGTGCTGGCAGCTCAGAGTGTGTAGAAATATGGGCAAGAAGTAATGAAAGAAAAACTCCATCCCCAGGGCTTGTTTGGGAACACAGCAGCCCAGACACTCTCTGAACAAGAAGCAAGGGTCTGTAGAGGCACGTGTGGCCCTGAAGCCACAGGGAGAACTCCCGGAAAACACAGATGAGGCAGAAACTTAGGGCTCTGAACTACAAGCCTCCATCCATCAGCGAGTGTCTGCCGAGCACTTCTGGGTACAAGACTGCAGTGAGAGTCAGAGTCTAAGATTTGGTCCCTGTTCGCCAAATAACAGTATTATTAACATCAACTAATTTGAATCCTGATTCCCCTGCATACTAGCTGGATGACTTAGCTAATCACTAACACCTTAAAGCTTTACTTTTCTCATCTGCAAAATGGGTATAATAATTAATATCTCCCACACAGCGCCTTTGTGAAGATTCAATGATATAATGGTTCTTAAAAAAACTGAAACAGAAAAATGACTGGCCATAATGCCCAAGCTAAATCCTGAATAAAGACTGGCTGCTCAGGTTATTATTATTAAACCTCTCTTACAGCCCAGACACCAGATTTGATATTGTCCAGGTACTGGCAGAAAGCAGATGACATACTGGTCTGGGATACTTAAAATAAATTATATTAAAGGGACTATTTGTCAAGGTCTGGGTAGGATTGCATGGAATAACAATGTATTTTGAGACACTCTGGGACTAAGAAGGCTGAAGACCTAATTCCTCCTCAACCCTATGCCTGGCTAAGAGCTGGAGCCCAAGGAGATTGGCAGCCACCACTGGGAGCTGGAGCTGGATCGTGGAGGCTGTGATGTGTGATGTATCATTGGTCAGACCAAGCTGAAGCAAAGGGGAGCCTTATTTTATTTTTTTTTTGAGATGGCGTCTCGCTCTGTTGCCCAGGCTGGCATGCAATGGCGTGATCTTGGCTCACTGCAACCTCCATCTCCCAGGTTGAAGTGATTCTCCTGCCTCAGCCTCCCGAGTAGCTGGGACTACAGGCACGTGCCACCACGCCCGGCTAATTTTTTGTATTTTTAGTAGAGACGGGGTTTCACCATGTTAGCCAGGATGGTCTCAATCTCCTGACCTCGTGATCCACCTGCCTCGACCTCCCAAAGTGCTGGGATTACAGGCGTGAGCCACAGTGCCTGGCCAGAAGGGAGCGTCTTTCTCCTCCCACATGCCCCCAATCTTCTGCCGCTATTCCCACTAGCTAAGTTCCAGGGGATGGCTGAGGCCAAGGAGTGCTGTCGCAGTCGACTTCCAGGCACCAACGGAGAAGGGCAGGGAAGGGTAGAACATGGGGATGGGGATGGGAAACGAACAGGACAACTGGTGCAGCTCCAAAACTTGTTTACTGGTCTCATTAACCCCATGGAAGTTGATGGCATGTCTTCCTTTTTCCGATAATGAAACTTGGCTCAGAGAGGTACAGCACTCAGATGCCCAGCTAAAAAAAGTGAGAAGCCTCCATCAGAATCCAAATTCAATTCACCCCACCATGATTGTGCCAGTGTTGACAGAATGGATTGGGAGGGCCCTTGTTGTCCAAAAGAATTTGGTGAGAGAGTTTTCACCATGAAACAAAAACTTGCATAGAATTCTAAATTATTTTGGACAGGCCAGGCCTATTGGCTCAAGCTTATTATCCCAGCACTTTGGAAAGCCAAGGTGGGAAGATCACTTGAGGCCAACAGTTTGAGACCAGCCTGGGCAAGATAGCAAGACCCTAATCTTTACAAAAAAAAAAAATTAAAAATTTATTTTCAGCAAAGAAATAATCTGTAAAAACAAGAAGAATAAGGAAAACAGAGCTTGGGTACCCATTTAGGTTAAGAATTAATTCATCCCTTCAACAGACATCTTGGTGCTTCTGGCCTTTACTGGGAGACAAAGGTAACAGCTAGTAGGCATAGCTTTCACTTATATGAGCACTTCTAAGCGTGTTATATGTATTCACACATTTTAATAATAGGTTCAATTCACTTAATCATCATTAAACCCTTTAATCAAAACATGGGTGCTAACCTTTAAAAACTCACACAGTCTCATGTAAGAGACCTATACACAGATGATTTCAGCTATGTGATAGTTGCTAAGCCACAGAGGCCACCACAAGTTTCGGGGCAGAGAGAAGAGTTAGTAACCTTGTGGTGTGCTCGAGGTGGCACTTACTTACTTCCCAGAGCTGACTGTGTATTTTTTCCTGAGCATTCAGTAACTTCACTTTGCTAACTTGATATCAGACTGGAGGGGGTCATTGGCCAACACTATAAATAAAGGCTTTTTATTTTATTTCATTTTTGGAAAGATAATGAGTGTTTAACATTTACCAGTACACCATTGCCAGAAGGCTTCCTGGAGGAGGAAGTATTTGAGGTAGACTTATTTATAAGGAGACGGAAAGGTGTCCCAATGACCTCTCCATCCAATTCCTTTTCATACTCCCTTGCTGCAGCCTCATTGAGCTAATCACCATGCTCCCGTCCTCTCACCCCCAATTCCTTTATGCAATTCTTTCCCTGCCTGGGTGATCCTTTTCCTCTTACCCACCAGAGAAACTCTTACTTCTGAATAGACTCTCTGAAGACCTTTCTGTGCAAATTCCTGCCCAGGACTCTGATACCAGCTGAATGAGCTTGGGCCATCTTTGACATCTCTAAGCCTTGTCTTTGCAGGCTATCTCCATACACTGTAGGACGGGGAAAATGTGAGCGGCCCTGCCTGCTCCACAGGGTTGCTGTTGGAATGAGACAGATGGTCCAAGAGCCACACTGGAGAGGTGAGCACCAACAAAGGCATGCAAGGAAACACTGGATGTCAGAGCTGGAGGCAAGTTCTGAAACCACCAGAGCCAGCCTTCTCAGCTTACAAATGACAAAAGCGAGGCGCTTTCAGCTTGTGTGCTTTTTGGCTAGATTACTGAGGGAAGTGGAAAAACATGATCCCATGAGTGTCCCAGAAGATCTCTCTTTTGCCCACCATTGACCTGTGGGCACCACCAGGCCAGACCTCCCAGGAATGAGATTCTGGAATCAGTGCAGAAGTTAACAACTGCCCATCACTTTCTAGGCAGTGGGCCAGTAAGACAAGCGTTACATCTTGGGAAGGAAAAAAGGGAGGTAGGCTGGGGCTGTGCAGAGACCCCCAGTGGGGTGGGACCTTGGAGGGTGTCCTTGTGTGATGGTGTGGCTTATGTGGTCTCACCCCCACTTCTTCTGCTCCAGTAGAGAGAAGGAGGGGAGGTAGAGAGGGAGGTAAGGAAAAGGGGGTCATGCCAAACTACAAGAGCCAGTCCAAGAGGAGAGCTGGAGCCCTGGGGGCTTTCTTGAAGATGCCCCAGGAAGTAGCTTTGTGTGGGCTCAGGTGAGACGAGGTGAGGCCAGTCACATGGGTGACACTGACATGACGCTCAGGTCAAGGCCAGGTTAAGTCTTGGAGGGCAGGCCGGGGGAGGGACTTCTGGAGCATGTGGGCACCAGTAGGACCCAAAGACAAGAGATAGATCCTATGGGCTGAAGAGCAAAGGACACTGCCGAGGTCCTGAGGAAAGGTATGGAGGGGCCGGAGCTGCGGTTCTCGTCATTCTTCCCATAGGAGTTCAGGGAAAGATTTGCTTATGTTTTTAATCATTTTTTAATTATAAAAGTAATACATCAATACATCTCAAAGCAAACACTCAAACATTACATACAAAGCAGAAACCTCCCTTGAAACTCACCCATCCCACCACTCTCCTAATTCTGATGTGCATCCCTCCAAGCCTTCGGCTATGAGTTTATCCCCATATTTGTTCATAGGAGAAATATGTGACTCTGTGTGTGTGTGTGTGCTTTATTTTGTTTGTTTGTTTTTTTTGTTCGTTTGTTTTGAGATTGAGTCTCACTCTGTTGCACAGGCTGGAGTGCAGTGGCACGATCTTGGCTCACTGCAGCCTCCACCTCCCAGGTTCAAGCAATTCTCCTACTTCAGTCTCCAGAGTAGCTTGGATTACAGGTGTTTGCCACCATGCCCAGCTAATTTTTGTATTTTTAGTAGAGACGGGGTTTTGCCATGTTGGCCAGGCCAGTCTGAAACTCCTGACCTCAGAAGATCCACCCGCCTCAGCCTCCCAAAGTGCTGGGATTACAAGCATGAGCTACTGCACCTGGCCTGCTTTTATATTAAAGGGACCAACCCTACATGTTCTCCTGAATCTTACTGCCTGCACCCGAGATCACTGCATGTACAGACCCAGAACTACAGCACTCTTTGTAAACCACCCCTTAACAATTCCACAGTCTGGGTAAGTGATCCATTATCTAATCATCCCCCCCAGTGATGGACAGCTTAGACTGTTTCCAATTTTTCATTTTCAAACAATGCATTAGTGAATATCCCTTTACAAGGCTGCTACAGGAAGAAAAAAATATATATTTCATATATATTTTTATGTCATATATATTACATATCATTATATAGAATATATTCATTTACAATATATCATACAATATATCCATTTTATATATATATGAAAAACTATTTCTTTCAGAGGTGGAAATCTCCTAGGAAAAGTGGGCACCTCCACACCTAATGTACCCCTTGACTTAAAACAGGTCTAGGCTGAGATCTTGAAAAATACCGTCAGGAACTGTGACTACATAAACCCGATATGGGACCAAAAACCTTAATAAGTCCTTTCCGTCTCCACTTGTGAGGACTCTGTATATTCGTCCTCTCTTAGTCATCATTTGGGTGAGTTCTCCATATTTATGCTTGTTCTTTTTTTCAGCTGTCCTCATAAATCAATCCCTGCAGTCTCCTAATCAAATCCAGCTTTTCAAATGAAACCGCAGCCGGGTGTTTAACTAACTAAATATTGTTTTTCCCCCAGCACTGACAGAGAGAGAGGGTGGGATGAAGCCTTGATCGGTGTCCTCTCCGCCTCAGCAATCCAGGAAGCTGCCGCCGCAGTTACTGACAGGGACCCAGGTAGGCGTCAGGCCATGGGCCGTGGGTCTGGAGGAGCAGCAGTTAAGAGGTTTCCTTTTGCTGTCTGGATTTCAGATGTCTATCCCTGGGATCCCCAGGAAGTAGGTCACCCTTTCCATGGCTACCCTTAATAAAGGCAGAAAATCAAGGGTGAAGTGGCCTGGAGTGGCACCCAGCTGCCACCCTGCCCTTGGAGCATGCCTACTGAGTTCTGCTTCCACCGGGTCTACTAACAAAATTGGCTTATAGCCGTTCTCAGAGAACAGAGGATGCCAGCCCCAGCTATTCCACCTCTAGACACTCTTCCATTCTGGTCTCAGGTGGCTGCTCATGCGGCCTCAGCAGTAGCAAGACCGAGTGCATTTTTCCTGAGACCTGCCCTTGAACCTGGCTCAATCCTCCCATTGCCTATGGGATCTACAGCAGGAGTTATCAAAGTTCTCCACCTGCAGTGGAGGGGGATGGTTTCCAGATGTTCCCTGGACTAGCATCATCAGTGTCATCTGGGAACTTGCTCAACAGGCAAATTCTCAACCCCCACCCCGGACCGACTGGGTCAGAATCTCTAAGGGTGGGACCCAACAGCGTGTGTTCTAATGAGCCCTCTAGATAATTCTGATGCATGCTCAAGTTTAAGCAGCACTGATCTACAGGACCAAGCTCCTAACTCAGATGCTCAGCTCTCCATGAACCAGCCCTGGCAGCTCCTCCAACCCCATCTCTCATTGCTTTCCCTACAGGATGCTACACTACATGGAGCAGCCCAACATACCAGGAGGGGTCTCTCCTCGCCTCTGTGCTTGCCAGCCCTCCTCCTAGCCATGCCCTTGCTCAGATGTATCCCATATCCACCTTTTAAATCCCAGCTCTGTGTCCTCTAGAAAGTCTTCCTTGGTTTCTCCAAGAAGAGCTAAAAATAGCTAACATCTACAGGGTACTGTTCCAAGAGCTGTTCAGTCATTTCTCGGTAACCATGGGGGATTAGTCCCAGAAACTCTGGAGGATACCAAAATCCACAGATGCTCAAGTTGCTGACATAAAATTTGGTTTGCCATATAAGCTAACCACATCCTCCATGTACTTTAAGTCATCTCTAGATTACTTATAATACCTGATACAATGTAAATGCTATGTAAGTAGTTGTTACACTATGTTTGCTACACTATTTTGTTTAAGGAATAATGACAAGAAAAAAAGAATCTGTACATGTTCAGTAAAGATGGTTTTTAAAAAAATATTTTTATGGTGAAACCCCGTCTCTACTAAAAATACAAAAAATTAGCTGGGCGCGGTGGTGGGCGCCTGTAGTCCCAGCTACTTGGGAGGCTGAGGCAGGAGAATGGCGTGAACCTGGGAGGCAGAGCTTGCAGTGAGCCGAGATCGCGCCACTGCACTCCAGCCTGGGCTACAGAGCGAGACTCCATCTCAAAAAAAAAAAAATTTTTTTTTAAGCCATGTTTGGTTGAACCCATGGGTGAGCAACCCAACTGTCTTTCTCTCTACATGTGACTGACTATAGGTAGAGAAATAAAATATCCATACAGTCATATGCAGAGAAAAAGATGTTGTTGTTGTTGCTTTTGCAACAGGGCCTGGCTCTGTCACCCATGCTCGAGTACAGTGACACAATCTCAGCTCACCTCACTGAAACCTCCATCTCCCATTCTCAAGCCATCCTCCCACCTCAGCCTCCTGAATAGCTGGGACTACAGGTGCATGCTACCATGCCCAGCTAATTTTTGTATTTTTTTGGTAGAGACAGGGTTTGGTCAAGTTGTACAGGCTTGTCTCAACTCCTGGGCTCAAGTGATCCTCCCACCTCTGCCTTCCAAAGTGTGAGGATACAGGCGTGAGCCACTACACCCAGACAAAAGACAGTTGTTGAGACATATATCTATAGCTGTAATCCCAGCACTTTGGGAGGCCGAGGCAGGCAGATCACTTGAGGTCAGGAGTTCAAGACCAGCCAGCCCAACATGGCAAAACCCTGTCTTTACTAAAAAATACAAAAATTAGCAGGCATGATAGCACATGCCTGTAATTCCAGCTACTTGGGAGGCTGAGGCAGGAGACTCACTTGAACCTGGGAGGCGGAGGTTGCAGTGAGCTGAGATTGCACCACTGCACTCCAGCCTAGGCGACAAAGCAAGACTCTATCAAAAAAAAAGCATTGGCCAGGCGCGGTGGCTCACGCCTGTAATCCCAGCATTTTGGGAGGCCGAGGCAGATGGATCATGAGGTCAGGAGATCAAGACCATCCTGGCTAACATGGTGGAACCCGGTCTCTACTAAAAAATACAAGAAATTAGCCGGGGGTAGTGGCGGGCGCCTGTAGTCCCAGCTTCTCGGGAGGCTGAGGCAGGAGAATGGTGCGAACCCGGGAGGCGGAGCTTGCAGTAAGCCGAGATCGCACCACTGCACTCCAGCCTGGGCAACTGAGCCAGACTCCGTCTCAAAAAAAAAAAAAAAGTATCAGATAGTTATATATGACTATAATAGAGAGAATTGGGCAAATTTAATTTTATATCTATACATACATCTAATCCTCTCAATAACTCCATGAGAAATGTATTACTGTTAGCTCCATTTTACAGATGAAGAAGCAGAAGCCCAGAGAGCTTAAATAATCTGTCCAAGTGAATAAGTGGTGAAATTGGCTAGGTGAGGTGGCTCATGCCCGTAATACAGCACTGGCATTGCCTGTAATCCCTGGGGCAAAGGTCAGATGATTGTTTGAGGTCAGGAGTTTGAGATTAGCCTGATAACACAGCAAGACCCTGTCTCTAAAAATTTAATAATACTAACCAGTGGTGAAGTTGAGATTTGAGCCCCTGGCTCTACAGCCTTTAACTATTTTCTTCTATTGCTTCCCTGTGATATAGCCAGACCAATGGTTTTAGTTCCTCACCTTGGACCCCGTCAGAACATACCTGCTCCCACTGCCCTATGACAGCCCTTTAGTTGTGCAAATAAAACTCTTATGTCCTGCCCAAGACTGCTCTTCTCCAGGCCAACACCCACTGTTTCCTCAACTGGCCTCCATGTGACTTGGCCCCGTATCCACTGCTGCCAGCCCTGTCGTTACAGCTGGCTTCTGAAAGGAGGGACCTCAGCATGTCCTCACATTGGCTGCCTTTGCTTTCTGCTGTTTCCTGTTTCAAATTGCAGGGCCCAATACTTTGCATCAAAAATGAAGACATGACATGCTTTCAAAAAAATCTCATTTTCTAAAGGCATTTCCTATTGATTTCCTTCCTTGTTGAGGCTCCTCCCAGCCTGGCTTATGTTTAAAAAAAGAGAGAGAGAAGGATGAATTTTTTTAAAAAAGGAAGAAAGAAATCTGTGTTTCTCCAAGCTCAGACTGGTGTGAGCCTTCTTGCTGACTTAGCTGAAAAGTTGCCGCCTGGGTGCCCCATGGATGAGCTGCCCAACCAGTGTTCCCCAAAACCACTGGCCTTGGGACCATCTCTGAAATACAACCACCAAAATTCCCCTCAAAATCCCCTCTTCACCACCTTTTGTGGGATTACTGGAAGGGGCATTTCTCCTCAGGAAATCCTCTGCCTTAAAAGCTCTGCTTCAGAACTGAAAGGTTCATTTTCCATCTTTCTTTTTTTATTTTATTTTATTTGTTTATTTTGAGACAGGGTCTCACTCGGTCACCCAGGCTAGAGTGCAGTGGTGCCATCTCAGCTCACTGCAGCCTTCGCCTCCTGGGCTCAAGAAATCCTCCCTACTCAACCTCCCGAGTAGCTGGGACCATAGGCACGTGCCCCCATGCCTGGCTAATCCCAGCTTTCTTCCGTTTATCCAGTCTGACTTTTCTCATCCTAGGCGTTCTGCCACTGCATCCCTTGAAATCTCCCATTGTCCACTTGAAGAATCTGAGTACCGGCTTTGGAATCAGATAAACCTGAGCCTGAGTTACAGTTCCTCATGAGCTAGGTGGCTTTGCAAAAAACACTTACCCTCTCTGATACAGTTTTCTCATTTGGAAAATGGAGATAAAGATAATCTGCATGAGTTTCCTAGGATTGCCATAACAGATGATCCCAAACTTCATGGCTTAAAACAGAAACGTATTCTCTCACAGTTCTGTAAATCAAAGTATCAGTTGGGGCTGGGAGCGGAAGCTCATGCCTGTAATCCCAGAAATTTGGGAGGCTGAGGCAGGAGGATCACCCTACCTCAGAAGTTCAAGACCAGCCTGAGCAACATGGTGAAACTCTGTCTCTACTAGAAATACAAAAAAATTAGCTGGTGTGGTGGCACACACCTGTAATCCCAGCTACTTGGGAGGCTGAGGTGTGAGAATCACTTAAACCTGGGAGGCAGAAGTTGCAGTGAGCCAAGATTGCACCACAGCACTCTAGCCTGGGTGACAGAGAAAGGTTCTGTCTCAATATATATGTATATATATATCAGTAAGGCTACACTCCCTCTGAAGTGTATACATAAGGAAGAACCCTTCTTCGTCTCTTCTAGTGGCTCTGGGTGTTCCTTGACTTGGAGTTGCATAACTCCAATTTCCAACACCATCTTCACATGGCCATCTCTTTCCCCTGTGTATCTCTCCTCTGTGTGTCTCTTATAAAAACATCTATCACTGGGGCCGGGCAAGGTGGCTCATGCCTGTAATCCCAGCACTTTGGGAGGCCGAGGTGGGTGGATCACGAGGTCAGGAGATCGAGACCATCCTGGCTAACACGGTGAATCGCCGTCTCTACTAAAAATACAAAAAATTAGCCGGGTGTGGTGGCGGGCGCCTGTAGTCCCAGCTACTCAGGAGGCTGAGGCAGGAGAATGGCGTGAACCCGAGAGGCAGAGCTTGCAGTGAGCTGAGATCGCGCCACTGTACTCCAGCCTGGGTGACAGAGCGAGACTCCTTCTCAAAAAAAAAAAAAAATCTATAATTGGATTTAGAGCCCACCAGATAATCTATGATAATCTCATCCCAAGATCCTTAACTTAATTACATCTGCAAAGACCCTTTTTCCAAAGAAGGTCACATTCATAAGTTCCAGGAGTTAGAACATGGATATAACTTTTCAGAGGTCATCATTCAACACACTACAAATATCTCCTTCATAGCTTGATGGTGTGGTTGAAATGAGATCATGAATAGAAGATGCCTGGTAGACTGTGCTCAACAAGTGTGTAGATACATTAAATTGATGCAAAAGTAATTGCAATTTTTTTACTTTTAATGGCAAAAACTGCAATTGCTTTTGTACCAGCCTGATAGCTTTTTTTCCCTTCTCCTCTGCCTCTATGCCCTTACCCTGTCCCACCCCGTCTGTGGAAGCTGGCCTCTTGACCTGGCTGCTTATAGCTGGCCCATGGCCACTAATGGTCACATTAACAACTTATATTTGGCCATGACATCACAAAGCCCTCCTAACATAAGTAGACCCATCTGACATATATCAACATCTTGTGAAGTAGGCATGGCAAGTACTTCATTCATCCCCATTTTACAAATGAGTACATGGAGGCTCAGAGAGGTTACATCACTTGCTAGACCCACTCAGCTAGTAACTGGCTATCAAATGAAGCTATGAAATTTCCCTAAGTTCCAACATGTAGGCAGAAGATGACCCTGATGAGGATGTCCGGCTATGGGTCATCTAGGGGTAACAAGAATGCAAGGGAGATAACTGTCCAAGAAATGTCATTTCTGCCAAAGATCAAACCTAGCTCTGCCTTTGCTGCCAAACAGAATTAAGTGCAGGCAATATGTCTGCCATTCCCCAGGGCTTGTCTCAGGGTTCCTGCCCACCTCACCTTTCCATTGATGTCTGAAACAATGTCATAAAGTTCTTGTTTCTGATTCTCTTCAGGGTCAAACGTGAAAGTGGGAAATAATCTCAAAATCATAATTGCCTGGCTCCAAGACATTTCTTTAGGAGGAAGGAACATTAGGAGGGAGTGAGATCTGCCTGGGTTGTAGGTTGGACCCTCACTCACAGACTGTGCGACACTAGGCTCATACTTAGCCCACTCTGTGCCCCAACTTGGCCACTTGGGGATAAAATAGGTTGGATAAAGTGATGGCTCAGTGTTTCCACCACACCCATCCTAAGAATCCCAGACTCGCCAGGCGTGCTGGCTCATGCCTGTAATCCCAGCACTTGGGAGGCCGAGGCGGGTGGATCACGAGGTCAGGAGATCGAGACCATCCTGGCTAACGCGATGAAACCCTGTCTCCGCTAAAAATACAAAAAAATTAGCCAGGCGTGGTGGCGGGTGCCTGTAGTCCCAGCTACTCGGGAGGCTGAGGCAGGAGAATGGCATGAGCCCGGGAGGCAGAGCTTGCAGTGAGCCGAGATCGTGCCACTGCACTCCAGCCTGGGCGACAGAGCAAGACTGTCTCAAAAAAAAAAAAAAGAATCCCAGACTCCAGCATCTTCGTACCATCAAGATTGTCTAAAATGATAGAGATGGCATAAAGCCAAATCATTGGGATTCATGTCTTTTTATCTCTTCTGCTTCCAAATCCTTGGTCTAGTTGCTTGTTATGGCAATAAGAATGTATTTTTCCTACTTGGTTTTTCCTACATAGCTGTGTTACTCTGAGCAAGTATCTAACCTCTTTGAGTCTCAGTTTTCTCATCTATACAATGGAAATAGTAACAATACGTATATTACTGGGCTGCCAAATGGCTAGATCTGTGTGTGTATGTGTGTCTGTATGTGTGTGTGTGTTCATGAATATACGTTTGGTGGGGTGGGGATGGGGTGGGATCTTTGTATTCAAGTTGACCTGAGCCTGGCTCTCCCACTTCTTGTATCCTTAGCAAAGGATACAAAACCTTTGCTAGTCACCTCCTCTCCTTCAGCCTGTCTCCCTCTCCCTCACCCTCTTGTGGGTTGGGATAATAATGTTAGGCTGATTCAGTGACACAAAGGGAGAAGGAGCTTAGAGTTATACAAATCACTGCATCATCTCATTAAATCAAGTCAGAAGTGAGCTCTGGAGGCTGGGGGTTGGGGGACATGTGCAAGGCCCTAGAGCACTCCATAATCCTGTCAGATAGGCTGTGATTTCCCTAGAGAATGGGTTCTCGGTCCATTCATTCTTTTTTTTCTCTTTTGAGATGGAGTCTAGCTGTGTCACCCAGGCTGGAGTGCGGTGGCACGATCTCAACTCACTGCCACCTCCGCCTCCCGGGTTCAAGTGATTCTCCTGCCTCAGCCTCCTGAGTAGCTGGGATTACAGGTGCCTGCCACCATGCCCGGCTAATTTTTGTACTTTTAGTAGAGACGGGGTTTCACTATGTTGGCTAGGCTGGTCTCGAACTCCTGACCTCAGGTGATCTGCCTGTCTCAGCTTCCCAAAGTGCTGGGATTACAGATGTAAGCCACCAAGCCTGGCTTCATTCATTCTTTTATTCATTCAACAAACATTCACTGAGCCTTTCCATGCATTAGGGCTCTATGTACTCTTAGGACACAAAGTCAAACAAGACCCAATCCCTGTGTGGAGAAGCCCACACTGGAAGGAGCCCTTCCAGTGAAGGAGACAGGCAGGTCAAAAGATCGCTGGAGTCCAACATACACCACTATGGGAGTGTGAGCGGACAGCAAGGCATGGAAGACAGAGGAGGCTGGCTCTGGGTGAAAAACTTGGGAACGCTTTGGAGAAGCAGCAGCACTGTATCTGGGCTTTGAGTGGGAAGAAGTTCACTAGGCAGTGAAGAGAGGAAAAGAACATTCCCGGCAGAGAGGAGGGCAGATCTAAGAGCATGGGGGGCCCAGAGGGCTGTGGGGAGTTCACTGAGGGGACGGGGAGAAGTTTGGTATAAACACATGATGATGGCCAGGCACAGTGGCTCATACCTGTAATCCCAGCACTTTGGGAGGCTGAGGCGGGTTGGTGGATCGAGTGAGGTCAGCAGTTCAAGACCAGCCTGGCCAACATGGTGAAATCCCATCTCTACTAAAAATACAAAAATTAGCCAGGCGTGGTGGCAGGCACCTGTAATCCCAGCTACTCAGGAGGCTGAGGCAGGAGAATCACTTGAACCTGGAAGGTGGAGGCTGCAGTGAGCGGAGATCGCGCCATTGCATTCCAGCCTGGGTGATAGAGCAAGACTCTGTCTCAAAAGGAAAAAAACAAAACAAAACAAAACAAAACAGCAAGGGAGACGCCAAAGTGGCTAGGTGGAGCAGTGGCAGGAGTAGAGACACTTTTACCCAACATAAGGACTAGGAAGAGATGAGGCTGCCCCCTGGGATTGCAAAGCACAAGACAAATATCAGAGATGGAAAATGTCCCCATAAGAAGTGGAAAACAGGCCGGGCACAGTCCATCACGCCTGTAATCCAAGCACTTTGGGAGGCTGAAGTGGGTGGATCACCTGAGGTCGGGAGTTCAAGACTAGCCTGGCCAACATGGAGAAATCCCGTCTCTACTAAAAATACAAAATTGGCCAGGTGCAGTGACGCATGTCTGTAATCCCAGCTACTCGGGAGGCTGAGGCAGGAGAATGGCTTGAACCCGGGAGGCGGAGGATGCGGTAAGCCGAGATCATGTCATTGCACTCCAGCCTGGGCAACAAGAGTGAAAATGTGTCTCAAAAAAAAAGAAGTTGAAAACAGAGCTGTGATCCACTTCTCGGTGAGTGGTATAACCGCAGGTATACTGGATAAAACCAGAAAGTATGCTTGGCTCAAATTACTACAGCTTAGGAGTGTCAAGCATTGAGGGGAACTAAATCACCACAAGATTTATGAGTGTGCAGGGGAGGGAGGAGGGTTCAGGTTGGGGGACATTGTTCTCACCATAAGCAGCAGTGAAGGAAACCAAGTCTTTGGAACCAGTCATATTCCTCCAAGGTTGTACAAACTCAGCCTTGATATGACCTTTTCTGGGGTCTCAGGAAGAAAGAAAAAAAAAAAAAGTGCCTTCATGGTAAAGAGGTATCAGACCAATTAATAAGGCAGATTTGAAAGCTTCTGAAATGCACCTGAGCAAGAAGTCAGGTGTTGAGTTCACCTGCTCTACAGACAAGAAAAATGCTTTTTCGGTTCCTATTTAGATAAAGCTGGACATAAATCATTCTTTGAAAAGCTGTCTTGGGTGCCTTTCTTGGTGGGGGCTTAAGCCCTTTCCAAACATTGCCTCATTAATCCTGGCAGACACGAAGAGAAAAAGGCTTGACAGACATCACTTTTGATGTCACTGAACAGATGTCACTGAGTAACTGGCCTCCAACTTTAAGACACACGCAAGTTCCTGCTGGATGTGGTACAAGATCCTCCCTGCTCACTGGCTGTTAGCTACCCTGCCCTGTGGCCTGGAGGAGGGAGGGTGTGTGTGTGTGTGTGTGTGTGTGTGTATACACATACGTGTAAGTACTTTTAGTCTTAATTATACTATGAACAGAAAATGGGGCAACAGCCACTAGTGTTACTAGCTGGGTGGCTGGGATATATTTTACCAGGAAATCTATATTCTCTTCTGAAACGGCCAGATTTTTGCAAGCATTTTCCCCATCTCAGGGTGGGTGGGCTGTTGTCCTTGGTAAATGCTTTTTGTTTATTTCCAGCCCTTCCAACATGTTGGCGAATTATTGCAATATGAACTTCTAATCCGAAAAGGGGGGTGAGGAAGGGCACTGAGAAGAAGAGAAAGTTATAACAAACTCAAGCGACTGACACCCCAGTTTTACTTGTCCCTTTGGACTTGTTTAGGAGTTGGGTCCTGTTTGGTGTTTCAAAGGAGGGAAAAGATATAAAAGTACAAGGTGCCTTAGAAATGGAAATCTTCTGATGTGGCCTCTTCTTTTCTTTTTAATAAAGAAGGTTAAAGAAAAAAACGAAGAGAGAGAAGACAGGGAGAAGACAGAGAGACAGTGACAGCCAGAGAAACAGAAAGAGAAAAAGTTGGGGGTGGGGGGGGGGGCGCAAGAGGGAGAAGAGGAAAGACAGGAAAAGAAAAGGAAAAGAAAAAGAGGAAAGAAAGAAGAAAAGAAACAAAAAGAAGAGAGAGAAAGGAAAGAAAGAGAAAGAGAGAAAGAGAGAAAGCGAGAAAGCGAGGAAGAGAGGAGAGGGCGAGTGCCCCGAGGGAGTCGGGCAAAAGCGAAATCCCGGCTTCCTACCCGGGACAGCGGGAGAGCCGAGTTTTCCGCAGCGGCCGCGGGCTCGGAGCTTTTAAGGGTTTCTAATCCTGGAAGGCTGTCTGACATCACCCCGTTTCTTGTCGGCTGATGTTTCGTACAAGCCTCTCATTTCCTCAGTGTTTTCAGAGCCACCAATTACTGCAACAGTCTCGTGTTTATGTTTGCGCGCGCTCTCCTGCCTCGCTGGCCCTCCGCCTGGGAGGCTGCGCTTCCCTCCGACGCGCGGAGCCCAGAGGGGGTGGGTCGGGGGAGCGGGGAGGGGGGAATCTGGATCAGGCATTGAAGAAAAAGGGAGGGGTCCCCCTTAATTTTTTTTCATTGACTTCAGCACCATGTGATCAGGAAGTCTGGCCTCCCTCCATTTCCCCTCCCGACTAAAGGGAAACATTGTGTAGCAGCCGCCTGGGCCACCGGTGGGATGGCCTTCGCTGCCTGACGTAGGGAGATAAAAATAACCGGCATATTTAAGGCAGGATCAGGAATCCCGGCGCTCACACGCGGCCTGGTCAGTTCCCGAGGCCGCCCGGCAGGCAGCGCAGCCTGCGGGGAGGCCCCGCGCTCGACTGTGCGCGCCCCACCGCAGGCAGTGCTAGGGCGTACGACCGGACCCCGACCCTGACCCCGACCTTGACCTCGGGACCCAGGCCGACTCAGGCCTGGCTGAGCCTCCCAGATTCCCCAGGGAGGCCGAGCAAGACCGGCCCGAGGCAGTCTGGCTCAGGCTCGCTGGGCTGGGGCTGGGCCTGGGTTCTCTGTCCGGCCTCCCGGGAGACGAGAAGGAAGGATGCCGTGGCAAAGGGAGGGTAGTGCGAAGTTTGATGCCGAGGGGGGTTACAGAGCCTCTGTCTCAAGAGAAGGCGCACAAGGTGCCACCAAAAAAGCCACTTGTTTCTAGCCAGGCCCCCAACTCAGACCCACCACTGTGTGCACAAACTCTCAAATCAAATCTGCCTTCTCTATCCCCACTTTGCCTTCCAACTGCACATTGCAAAGATTTGCAAACATGTGGCAGGGCTGGAAATAAACAAGAAGCATTTAGCAGGCAAAAGGCACTGATGTGTTTCCACATTCATGCTCTCCTTGAAACCTCAACCCACACTACACAGGAAGTTCTGTTATCCTTATCTTACACAATGGGAAACTGAGGCTCGGGGAGATGGAGCCACACATGGGCAATGCTTTCCCTACCACCTCAGTGGCCTCTCGAAACTGCATGACATTGGCACATTGCTTTATCATTCTGGAAACCCCCTACCCTCTCTTCTTCCTCCTCCCTAAATAAAATTATTACCAAGCAAAAACAATGATGGTGAGCTTTCACTGACCTATGAAATCTCAGGTTTGCCCTAGCCCTGGGGCACAAAGAAGTTTTCACATCCATTTAATAATGGGAAATCTCCCTGCCTTCTGATGTCTAAAGTAACAAGATGTTTCAAAATTCCTGGCAGCTTTTCACCTAAAAACCAGATGTGCTGATGAAAAATGAACAGACATTCACCGCTAATCCAGAGATAGCAAATACCTATTTATCTGGGTAGAAGAGGCAAAGAACTTCCATTTTGGGAGATTTGGGAATTTAACCATCTATGGGGATGGAGACCCCGGAGTCTGGCAAGATTTTTCTGAATCTAAGCACCCAGCACAATGCCTAAGACTGAAAATACTCAATCCATAATTGTTGGATTGAGTGAATGGGGGGTGGGGGTGGGTTGTGGAAGGTGATAAGCAGCACTTAAAAACACATTGGGATGAGGTATGCTGGTCATATCTTTAGTGATCATATAAGCATGATCTCATTTAGTCCTTATAACTACCCTAGTCTGCAGGTATCATTATCATCCCTGCCTTGTATGTAGGGAAACTGTAGTGCAGAGAAAAACTGCCCAAGGTAACACAGCTGGGTGCTGGAATTTGAACGCATGCAATCTGACTGCAGTAGCCAAGTTCTTCACCACTAGACTAAATCCAAAGAGTTGTGCCATGAGATGTCAGAGAAAGGGACCTGTTATTTACTAAGCACCTCTTTTGACTCAAGCTCCATGCTTACTACTGGAGAGGCGGGTCAGACACCACAGGATCCAGGCTCTCAAAGAGGTGACTCCGGAAGCAAGACTGGACTTCAGACTCCTTGAAAGCAGCCCTAGTTCTCATTCACCTCTATCTTGCCAAACATCAACTATCACAAATGTCTGTTGAATCGTTCCCCCTGAGAGAAACCTTCTTTGACCACCACCAACCGCAGCATTTTAGATCTCCTTCCTGTTTCCACATTAGATATGGCACATGCCTGCCTTAAAGCGCTTGTCACCCAGCATCTGAGCTTTTTACTTACCTGCCTGCTCTCCCACTGGTCTAGGAGCACCTTGAAGGCAAAAATGGTGTCTAGATCAGTATAGACTCCAGAGCATGGCGGCCACTCACTAAATGTTTGCTAAATTATGAATGAATGCATATGAGACCTTCACTAGCCTCCAGTACAATGTAGGCCTCCTATCACCACAAAACCCGGTTTTCTCTATCTCAGCACCCTCTTCTGTTGCCTCACAGAATTTGTCACAGTTTGTAATTTAATCTGTTTTTCTTTTCCTCCCACGAACCCACGAATGCAGGAACTGCCTCGCTTATGCCTGCCACCATAGCATTCCCAACATGTATTAAAGTGCCTCACACATTGCTGGCACTCAGTAAATACTTGTACAATGAATGAGTGAGTGAATGAATGAATGAATGAATCAACAATAACTATTCCAAAGCCAGTCATAACTGAGCGAAGCCACTTGAAATAATGCCATTACCCAGATTGTATTCATAAAGTGAGGGCCTTTTGTTTGGTGACCACGTCAAATCTAAGTCTCATCCATATTGATGATAAAAAAGACTTAAAAGGGGGGTTATTGAATGAGGCCCTTCTTCTCACACAATGTGGGCTGCAGTGACCACTATAGTTAGAGCTGCACACAGACTCCCTTTATGCCCCTCTGTTTTCATTAGCTCAGGGAACTTGCCAAAGAGTGATCCTTTTGCGCTGAAATTTTCCATGCTGGGTCTTGGCAAAAGGTGAATTTTGGGGAAAAGTTTGAATAAAATCCCTTCAGCCATTTTTTTTCTTCAGTTTGATGAAGATGAAAAAAATACATTTTTTTCTGGCTTTTAATTGAAGACATTTTTAGGACACAGGAAACTCAAATTGAATTGAACTTTGAAAACCTGAAAGTCATATCTAATCCCGTCTGAGGAAACTGTGGAGCTCATCTTGGGCTCATTTTTTTTTAATTTAATAATAATTTTAAAAACTAAAAAGGAATTGAAAAATCTCTTTGCAGCCTTAGCAATCTTGACATGCTTTCTCCAACTTGAGCTACATAAGTCTTTCTGTGATTCTAGCAAATCATAGAAGCTCAGAGCTGTTTAGAAGTGATTTTAAAACTTGAATTTCAGCTCCCATGCCATGACAGATCATATTTTTTCCCTCTTGCCTTTGTCTCAAGAAACTTCTTCACAATGTACCAGGAATATGTGATTTAAACCATAGCCTCAGAAAATAACAAAGCTGAGGTTCCTGGAATGAAAGGACTACTTCTTCAAAGCCAAATATACAACTTGCTTTCCAAAACTTTCTTAGATAAATGCTAACCAAAACATTTTATCTTGCATTGGATTTGGATTTTCTCAGTACTCATGTCAGTACCACATTCTTGCTCCCTTTTTTTTTGGGGGGGGGTGCGGGGGGATGGGGTCCCACTCTGTCGCCCCGGGCTGGAGTGCAGTGGTGCGATCTCGGCTCACTGCAACCTCTGCCTCCCGGGTTCCAGCAATTCTTCTGCCTCAGCCTCCCGAGTAGCTGGGACTACAGGCATGCGCCACCATGCCCAGCTGATTTTTGTATTTTTAGTAGAGACGGGGTTTCATCATATTGGCCAGGCTGGCCTCGAACTCCTGACCTTGTGATCCGCCCACCTCGGCCTCCCAAAGTGCTGGGATTACAGGCGTGAGCCACTGCGCCCGGCCAGATTCTTGCTTTCTTATTCACTGGAAACTACCTCACGCTAGTCATATAGTTCTTGCCACAGAATTATTTGCAAAAACCAGTGCTAGGCTGGAAAGTCAGAAACACTTGGATTTGATTCCCTGTGCTGATGTTTACCAGGCAAAGACCTTAACCCCTCTAAGACTCAGTTTGTTCACCTGTAAAACAGGGATAATAATACTGACTCAACAATTGTTGCAATGGTTAATTTAGGCTAAATGCTACCCCCACAACCCACCAGACCCCCACATAGTGCCTGGTACAAAGTGAGTGCTCAATAAATGGCAGTGTCCTTCTAACCCTCCTCTGTCAACTCTTTATTCACACTTATCCTATCTTTACATTAGCTGGTTGGCACGTCATGTCTTCAGCTTCTCTGTTCCTCCTGGTGTCTAGCCGGTCTGAGGCACATAGTAGACACAGTCAGAACAGAAGCAAGGGAGGGTTGCTGTGCGTTTCCACTTAGGCTGTATATTTTCCGAGATAGCAGCAAATGTCTTATCTTTAACTCCTCACTGTCTCTCTCTCTCCTGCTAGAATGATCCTTTCCACCTTTGTAAATCCAGGATGCAGCTAGGTGAATGAGCGCATGGGTGAATGAACCGGCAAATGCCTCCCATTTCCTCACATGACCTGAAGCCTGAACATTGGCTTTAATTTTCAAGCAAGTTTCATTTTAACTCAGGCATTGTCTGAGAGCCAGGATTTCTTTGGAATGCTCATTTACCTTGATGGTTGTGTATTCAAAACCCACCACA
This sequence comes from Homo sapiens, assembly GCF_000001405.40. Lineage (NCBI taxonomy): Eukaryota > Metazoa > Chordata > Mammalia > Primates > Hominidae > Homo > Homo sapiens. The sequence goes on along the minus strand of NC_000009.12, from coordinate 107,633,432 downwards.
GCTCAAATGATCTTATTTACATGCAGTTCTATTTAGCAGTGAACAGGCAGGGGACCTTCCATCACAGTCCAGTCCTTTGTTGGGACAAAAACTGCCCCTATTCGAATTTCCACTGTGCTGACATACCACCGCTCCAAAAGAGGAAAGTCCTAAGGAATCAAAAAGAAAAAGAGAGGGAGGGAAGGATCCAGCTCAAGCCAGCACACCTCCACCTCCCCTGAATAATGTATGTCTGATTTGTTTGTTTTCCTTCTGCAAGGTTGGCTGGCCTTGCCTCCTCTTTAATAGATACATTTTTTTAAAAAAATCAGAACTGGTTGAGTTCCAACTATGTGCCATTTCTTTTCACACATCTTATATAATTTCATTCTCATCTCATTCATTTTATAGATGAAAAACAGTCTCAGAGAGGTTAGGAAGTTTCCCTTCCGTCACACATCTAGAAGATGCCACTGCATGCTGAGAGCACTTTCAAATTCTTTTTCTCCAGTCTTCCCCAACAACTCACAGCCACCCAACATATGGGCTTGCGCACATACACACCATACTCACACTTCATTGACTATGTTTTAGAGAAAGATTCAACACTGGAAGAAGCTTACTTATTGAAACAGAGTGTATCATTCTGGGAAAGATCAATTCACAAATTCACAACAGGAGGAAAAGGGAGGAAAAGGGAGATACAATCAGGAAAGAACGCAGGGAAAGTTTAAGCTGTATTTGGTAACATTTTATCTGTTAGGCTGGATGGCATTTACACGAGTGTTTGTATGTTGGACTTTGTAAGTGTTCATTTATTGTAAATCTGTCATAATACATTTTCAGATTTAGCAGCATTGCCCGTGCTCACTCCCAGTTCTTGCCATCCACACATACATCACCAGACATACACACTGACAAACACAGAGCCATACTCCGCACACCGACAAGTACACACAAGCACCGACACACACTCATCCATACACATTCACACATTTATCTTCACGTGTTGAGTCACGAGAACCCCCACACTGGCTCGTGTTGACAAGCACACACTCACACACACACAAACACACTGCCTGCTAACGTAGCCTCTGACCACCCCTCTTCTCCAGTCAAGGACAACAGGGTCAGATGCAGAGACCCTAAAATCTGGGAGGCTGAGATGACACCAGCTGAGCGATGGGCCCACCTGAAATTGCACAGAGTGGGAAGGCACAAGGCCTGCTTCAGGGAGCTGGCACAGGCAGGTGCCACTGACGGCCAGTCACACGAGACCCGTGTGTGTCCCCCAGGCCCAGGCAGATGTTCTCTCTCACCACAGGCTCCTCTAGGAAGGGACAGAGTTAAGGAGCAGAGGGAAGACTCTGGTGTTTCACAGTTTGGGGTGGGAAGCAGTAACTTGTGTGGGAAACAAACTCCTCGGAAACCATAGCAACACCCATTTGGCAGCTCTGGATTGGACCCTGACCAGACATTTATTAAGCAGCCGCATAAGCTGTGGTCTCCAGAAGAACAATACCAAACTGATCAAATGTTAATAGCTTCAATCTGTTCCTCCTCACACAGCTCCTACCCATCCCCCTCTCTCAACAGACTTTGCATTTCTGCTTCTTAGCCTCAGCAGAAGACCGCCTCTGCTGCTACCCTAGAGCCTAAGTTCAAGTCCAGGACCACGAGGCATGTGCAGGTGACTTAGAGTGCAGAGATGGAAGGCAGGTCTCACCAGGGGGCCCTTGGGGTCTAAATGGGGCCATTCTTCGGTTAGACTCACCGAGCTGAATAGTGTCCAAGATCATGTGATTGGATACTTCTTAACCTCACTGCTTTTAAGAATTAGCTGGTAAGCTTTAAAAAAAAAAAAAAAAAAAAAGTCAATGTAATCTGAGTCTCTAGGGAACAGGGTCTGATCATTTGTATTTTTTAAATTTCCTCAGTCAATTCTAATATGCAGCCAGTATTGAGAACCACCGCATAATTTCAGCTCCTTGTAGAAGTGGGGGTGGGGAAGCCCAAAGAGGGACAGGGACTTGCCCAAGGTCACAGAGCTGGTGAGACACCATGCTGAGGGAGAACCCAGACATCCTAACCCTAGACAAGTCGTGTTCATTTTCCTGGGCAACAGCACTCTATGTGAGTCTTAAAAATGTATCCCTCTCCAGCCAGGCGTGGTGGCTCACACCTGTAATCCCAACACTTTGGGAGGACGAGGCAGCTGGATCACCTGAGGTCAGGAGATCAAGACCATCCTGGCTAACATGGTGAAACCCCTTCTCTACTAAAAACATAAAAATCAGCTGGGCTTGGTGGCGCCTGCCTGTAATCCCAGCTTCTCGGGAGGCTGAGGCAGGAGAATCAGTTGAACCAGGAAGTTGGAGGTTGCAGTGAGCTGAGATCACGCCACTGCACTCCAGCCTGGTGACAGAGCCAGACTCTGTCTCAAAAAAAAAAGTATCCCTCTCTTTAACTCACTATGGGTCCTGCTCTTTTCTGCCAGGACTTGGGGGTCGAGGAGGTGGTTGCAGGGGAAGGTGATAAAATGAATCCAAGGAGGATGCCAGAAAATGTGTTTTTGTGCTGGGTTTTGTTTTGTTTTTGTTTTTGCTCTGTTGTGCAGGCTGGAGTGCAGTGGCGCAGTCTTGGCTCACTGCAACCTCCGCCTCCCAGGTTCAAGGGATTCTTGTGCCTCAGCCTCCCAAGTAGCTGCTACCAGGCCCAGCTAATTTTTTGTATTTTTAGTAGAGACAGGGTTTCACTATGTTGGCCAGGCTGGTCTCAAACTCTTGGCCTCAAGTGATCCTCCTCCCTCCAGCCTCCCAAAGTGCTGGGATTTATAGGTGTGAGCTACTACACCCAGCCCAGAAAATGTAGTTTTAACAAAAATATAAAGGACCAGATATTCAAGACATCACGACAGTCACACTGACTGGTTTACATTTGCCATAGTTAAGACAGAATTTATCATGGCTAAACATGGGACTCTCCAACCAGATACCCAGGCCCCCAAGCCCCAAGCCTGGGAAATATCTTCACTTCCTCCAGTGTCATTAGTGCCCCTGTGAAGTCGGTCTCCGCGCTGTGAAGAGTCTACCTCATAGGGATATGGCGACATCCTCAGAAGCATTGGTTGATTTCCCAATCCATACCACCATCCTCTCTCACCCAAAATGCCTAACCAGCCTCCCTCCACAGGCAGAGGTTCTGTCATCCATCCTCCACAGAGCCGCCAAAACATTCTCTCTAGAACACACATCTGGCTATGCTGCCCCATGGCCAAAGCCTCTGTTTTTAGGTGCACCCAAGCAGCTTGCTCATTGCACACTGACCACATCCCACCCTCTAGGTGAAGGCCAGGGACTCCAGTGGGAAATAAGATAAACATGGTCCCAGCTAGTGTTCAAGTTATATTCTCCATGAGGAGACCAACACTGACTAATCATGCGACTGCAACAGCTACAGAGCTGAAAGAGGGGTAATACTGAGAGAGTGTGTAATGGGGGTCACATTGCCCTCTCTGGCCACGTCAAGAATGGATTGTTCTGGCCAGGTGCAGTGGCTCACAGCTGTAATCCCAGCACTTTGGGAGGCCGAGGCAGGTGGATCACTTGAGGTAAGGAGTTTGAGACCAGCCTGGCCAACATGGAGAAACCCCATCTCTACTAACAGTACAAAAATTAGCCGAGCATGGTAGCACACACCTGTAATCCCAGCTACTCAGGAGGCTGAGGTAGGAGAATCGCTTGAACCCAGCAGGCGGAGGTTCCAGTGATCCGAGATTGCACCACTGCACTCCAGCCTGGGTGACAGGCCAGACTCCATACCAAAAAAAAAAAAAAAAAAAAAAAATGGATTTTTCTGAGCAAAGGATGGGATGTTTAATCTGATATCTGAAGGGTGAGGGAGTTAAGAAAAAGGGGAGGAAGAATGGTCTCAACAAAGGGAACAATGATATGCACAGATGCTCTGGGTGGTACAGGAGCACAGTCTAGGACCCAAGAGCAAGGAGAGAGGGGTGCACAATGAGGCAGGTCAGGGGTCAGATCACACAGAGCCTTTTAAGTCATGGAAGAGATTTGGGGTTTAGCCTTTGGATTTTAGTAGAGTGACTAACCATACCAGTGTGCCTGGGCTGAGGTGTTTCCCAGGGTGTAGAACTTATAGTGCCAAGATATGGAGGGATGGTGGGGAGGGTGGAGAGTACCAGGACTGCGGGAGGGTAACGAACTCAGTGGCTGAGTTTGGGAAGTTAGTGCAGTATTCAAGTGGAAATGTTAGCTAAGCTCCTATTTCTACCGGTCTGAAACTAGAGATCTTTGCAGAAAGAAATAGGTGTGGGAGCTATCAGCTCAGAGAAGGTAATTGAAGTATGGGAGTTGAATAGTCAACCAAGAGATAAAGTAAAAAGAAAGCTGGCAGATAAAATAAACTCCAGCCTTCATGAACCCCAGTGTATAAAGATCTGGTAGCTAAAGGTGAAAACAAGTAAAGGAGGCTGAGAAGGAGCAGCCAAGGCTCTCCAGCAGGAAAACCATGAGTCTGTGGGGTCTCTATGCATGAGAAGAGGGAGGGTCAGCAGGACAGAATGTTCCACCGTCATCAATGCCACTAGAAAATCTAACCAAACAACTGGGAAATACCAACGGACAATGGAATGTGGAGGTCATGATGACCTTGTGAAGCAGCAAAGGTAGAGGTGGATTGGGGCGTGATTGGAGGGGGAGGGAAATGGAGACGATGCGCATAGCACAGAACATTTATTTGAAAAATTTGGCTGGGAGGGAAATTGATGAGTCAGGAGCTGGAGTAAGATGTGAGGTGGAGTGAGGGTTTGCTGTAAGATGAGAGACCTGAGTGCGGGTAAACGTTGATGGGGAGGATCCAGCAGAAAAGGAGGGATCAGACAACGTAGGAGTCCCCACAACTCACCGCACACTGCCTCCTGCAAGCTCTGCACACCGCGCCTCCAAACACTCCATGCATTCTTTGCCTGATACGCACCCTCCCTTTATCCGTGATAACTCTTACTGGAATCAAAGGACCACCCCGGGAAGCCGTCCCTCATCTGTATTTGTACAGCCCAGCACATGCACCTCTGCCACAGCACCCAAATTTGGCTGCTTTCCATGTGGTCTCTCCTGCTAAATGGTGAGCTCTTCAAAGGCACAAAACTCACTCCAAATCTTAGCCCACGCATTGGCTGGCCCAGAGTACATGCTCAGTAAACACTTGTAGAATGAATAAATGAATGAACAATGTTAGTAATCAACAATAAACTAGAAGATGCACATGACCAACATTGAGGACTTCTGGGTTGGCAAGAAGGGTGAGTTCTGTTCCCCAGAAGCAGGGCCCTCAAAGAAGCTGGTTCCTACGATCCCTGAAAGGGGGAAGGGGACTGGAAGGCAGGGTGTGGTGGACTCCTCACCGAGCTCACATTCTTCCCTTCCATTGTTCCTGGCGGCTGCACATGGAAAGTACAACACCCACTAAGGCCCATGTGTTTCCCTCCTGCCCTCCCTCAGCAGGGAGGGAACAGATGGGTGTAATTTATGCCCACACCCTCCTCTTGCAGCCTTGGCACTGGGGAGAGGGGACGCAGGGGCAGAGACCCACCCAGGTTCCACAAACTTCTCTCAGTACTGAGGCAAGAGAGCCACAGCAGGGGCTAGCTGGGCCAGGAGCAGGAGAGGACAGGCAGAGGGGAGGAGGGGGATAAAAAGAACAGAACTGCCATGTGGGAGTGTCCATGGCATTCCAGCATTGTGCCAGGTGGGTGCATACATTATCTCAGCACATTTCTGCAAGGAGCAGGCTCTTGCACCTACTTGAAACTCAGAGAGGTGAAGGAACTGCTCCAAGGTCACCCAGCTGGTGAGTGGCTGCAGTGTCAGGGTTCTAATCCAGGTCTCCCTGGTTCCAAAAACAGTGTCCTCCCCACTAGACCCCACTGTGGGAGAAAGTCACATCTTCAAGCCTCCCTGCACCCTCCCTCTCATGGGTCATCTAGGGCCATGACAGGCAAAAGGACCCTCAAGGTTCACATTCTTCTGCTGAAGGAAGCTGGACACTAATGCCAAGACTGTAGAAAACACATACAGATGAGCTGGAGAAGGCAAAGCTGGAGAGAAACACAAAGATGAGTGTGGAAAGGGCCAGGGGCCAGGTCCTGTCAGGGCAGGCACTGCCTTGGAGGTGAACCCTCCGAAGGTGACTGTCCTGCAGCCAATCCTCAAAGCTGGAAAATAGGCTAAGAATGATATTCTGAGAAATGCTGAGCTCTGAGACACCAAAACATACCTTCCCTTCTTGGCCACCTCTTCCCTCTTCCTTTAACGGCAATTGAGGCAACTGGCATAGAATCCATGTTTAGGGAATCACATGAACCTGGATTCAAACCTGTAGCTCCTCTGCATGCTAGCTGTGTGCCTGTGGGGAAGTCATGTGGCCCTCCTGAGCCTCAGTCTCTTTATCCATAAAATAAGGTTGTGAAAAGGAGATGACTGGGCCGGATGTGGTGGCTTACACCTGTAATCCCAGCACTTCAGGAGGCCGAGGGAGGCAGATCATCTGAGATCAGGAATATAACACCAGCCTGGGCAACACAGTAAAACCCTGTCTCTACAAAACATACAAAAATTTGCTGGGCATGGTGGTGGGCACCTGTAATCCCAGCTACTCAGGAGGCTGAGGCAGGAGAATCGCTTAAACCTGGGAGGTGGAGGTTGCAAGGCTGCAGTGAGCCGAGATCGCACCACTGCACTCCAGCGTGGGCAACAAGAGTGAGACTCCTTCTCCAAAAAAAAAAAAAAAAAAAAAAGAGATGGCTGAATTCAACACGCTATTGCTGCAATTGTGTCTATTGAGCCCATCCGGTGCTGTTTTGGTTTGGTTTCTTTTTGCTTTATCAAGTCAGCTACTTGCAAAAAATGAGACACTGCACTTAAAAATCCAGATTTCCAGCTTCTTTGGATAATCAGAGTGCCTGCAAGTTGGTTCTGCATTGACTCATAGCTACAATTTAGAGGGGATATACACACTTCATTTTTCCACTGCCCCGTTACTCCCTCCCGGCCTCATCAATATCACCTGCCCACGGGATGTGGCTTTTGCTGCCTCTGGTGTAAAAACCATTTTGACCTTAACCCTGAAACTCTGACCACCTTGAGTGCAGTGACCCCAACAAGTTCTGGTTCACCAATATCTCCCCAGAGCCCAGCACAAGGCGTGGGTCCTAGTAGGTGCTCAGCCATTCATTTGTTAACAAATATATATGTCGAGTCCCTACTCTGTGCAGGAACCACGTAATATGCTGAAGATGTGAGCAACTAATAAGCCAGATATGTAAATGATGCTCACAATACAATCCATGAGACAAGTTGTGTTATTATCTCCAATATTTAGGTGAGCTGGGGAAACTGAGCCACAGAGAAGGTAAGAAACTTGCTCAAGACTCCAAGATAAAGAGGAGCAGAGGTAGAATTCAGTTTTTCTTCTCTAGAACCAATCAATGCTCTGAACTAGGGATCTGCAAACTACAGCCTATAGGCCATCTGTTTTTATAAATAAAGTTTTATTTTCTTATTTTTGTTTATTTATTTTGAGATGGAGTTTCACTCTTGTCCCCCAGGCTGGAGTGCAGTGGTGTGACGTCAGCTCACTGCAACTTTCATCTCCCGGATTCAAGTGATTCTCCTGCCTCAGCCTCCCGAGAACCTGGGATTACAGGCGCCCACCACCACACCCTGCTACGTTTGTATTTTTAGTAGAGACGGGGTTTTACCATGTTTGCCAGGCTGGTCTTGAACTCCTGACCTGTGGTGATCCACCCACCTTGGCCTCCCAAAGTGCTGGCATTACAGGTGTGAGCCACTGGGCCTGGCCTAAATAAAGTTTTATTGGTGCATGACCACAACCATTTGTTTACTTTGAGGCTGCTTTCACACAACAATGGCAGAATTGAGTGGTTGCAACAGAGATCCTTTAGGCTCTCAAGGCCTCAAATAGATACTCTCTAGCCCTTTGCAGGAAAAGTCAGCTGACTTCTCCTCTGAACCACGATTCTAAGCATCCTATCTTCATGAGGGGTCTTTGCGCTCATAAGATTTCTACTGAGGGGAGGGGGCGCTTTTTAAAATACATAAAAGAGATACATGTGGCCAGGCGTGGTGGTTCACGCCTGTAATCCCAGCACTTTGGGAGGCCAAGGTGGGCGGATCATGAGGTCGGGAGTTCGAGACCACCCTGATCAACATGGTGAAACCCTGTCTCTACTAAAAATACAAAAATTAGCCAGGCATGGTGGTGCACACCGGTAGTCCCAGCTACTCAGGAGGCTGAGGCAGGAAAATCACTTGAACCCAGGAGGCGGAGGTTGTAGTGAGCCGAGATCATGCCATTGCACTCCAGCCTGGGTGACAGAGAGAGACTCCGTCTCAAAAAAAAAAAAAAAAAAAGATACACATTACAATGGAGAGGACCCTGGTAGCTACTCTACTGAGGGTCCTGGAAAGACCTTTGATAAAACGTCATTAAGCCGAGATCTGGGTGACAAGGAGCCAGTCACATGGAGATAGGAGAAGAGATTTCCAGGCACGGACCGCCTGGAGCACAGGCCCTAGGACTTGAGCAAGCATGGGGGTTCCAAGAACAAAAAGAAAGCCAGCATGCTCCTAACTCAGCAGGAGAGCAGGAGGGCGCGGTGCGGGTAGGAAAGGATTTGGCCATGAAGGGCTTTCTGAAAACGTAAACGGATGAACTGTGCAGGCCTGGAGGAGACCAAAGCCTCCTCTGGCATTCGCTGGCTTTCTGAATCCAGATCCTTCCTTTAAACTGGCAGGCCCTCCTCTCCCTGGCTATGAAAGGAGTTCCACTATGTGCCACGCTTCTGGGACTGAGGCAATAAAAGACTGATGGAAAAGCCCCCTGGAACGATGCAGGGCAGCCCCGAGACTTGAAGGCTGCCCCTGATGTGTGTGCTGAAGTGAGCCAGAAGATTCATCACCCCCAAGAGCTGGAGGCCCCTGTAACCCGGGAAGCTTGAGGCTCCCTTCCCAGCCAGGCTGACTCACGGCACAGCCTCCCATGTGCACTTTAGCCTGGGGCTGCCTTCCCTTCACACAGCCCTTGGCTACTGGGGAAGGTTTGCCAAAAGGAAAGGTGGCCAGGGGAAGGAGGCACTGAAGGGATAGGGTAAAAGTCCCATCAACTTCACTGCAAGGAATAATTGAGTTTGCTGGGAACATAAAAGCAGAAAGCCTGGAAGCTGAAGAAAAAGTATGTGCACGTGTGTGTGTGTGTGTGTGTGTGTGTGTGTGTGTGTGTGTGTGTGTTGACATTGGGAGGCAGGAGCCAAAAAGGAGTGCCTGGGTAATATGTGACCAGGGCAAACCAGGTTTTCTAACTCATTTATCCAGATCCCGGGTCTTTGCTGTGTGGGTGACGCTAAGCAACTGTTTGCATGACTGGCTTGTCAAATCTGTAAGGATTTGAAAAGGGGATAAGTGAATGATGCATGGATGAAAGATTCGGGGTCCAACAGGCTTCCTGGCTCCACCCCTTATTAGCTGGATGACCTTTGAAAAATCATTTCAACTCTGAGTCTCGGTCTCCTCACCAGGAAAGTGGGACTACCACCTCCTATAAAAGGCTATTTTGCGGGTTAACTGGAATTATGACACCCTTAGCAAAGTGCAGGTGGCACCTCTTTCCCTTCCTGGATTCCCTGGATCCAGCTGGGTACCTGGCACAGTGAGACTGGATAAGAACCTAGACAGCACAGGAGGGACTGGGTTTCTGAGGTCTCTGTGTGTCTGATGCATGTAGAATGGTCTAGTTCTTCAGGACACATAGTCCTGAGTCCTGAGAACACCCAGGGTATCAAATGGTGCTGTGACTGAGCTTTATTAATTAGTGAATTCACTCAACAACAATACATGGGGCATCTGCTCTGTGCTGGACCCTGCAGGAATGCAGGAAATACAGAGATGAAGAAGAAAAGTGGTGTTGGGATGCTACCAGATTGCCAAGTGGGAGAAGGATAAATGAAACATTGTGGGCACATAAAGAAACATTGGTGGCATGAGCACACAACTGCATGACCATTTTCTTAAGTTATTTGGACACTAACATAGCTCACAAACAGATATAGCTGCCCTCCCTGCTCATAGGAAAACATCACCTCTATCAAAAAGCAATCACACAAATAACTCAGGTTTCATATTCCAGGCAAATGTGGATTCCGTTCTCAGCTCCTTTAATACCCAACTATGTGACCTGGGGCAAGCCATTCACTCCTCTGAGTCTCAGGTGGCTTAAACCTAAACTGAGGATAATACCTACCTTCTCGGGCCCAGAGGTTTGACACGGTGGAACAGAGGAGAGAGAAGCTCCGGTTTGTGCTACTGACTCTAATTGCCCTCCAATATTGGTTCTCCCCTTCTCTCTCAGAAGAACCCCATGATATTTGCTGAGTACATGGCCACCCTGAATAAATCACAGCTTCCCTTGCTGCTGTGTTTGGCCAGTCAATTAAGTTCTGACCAATGGGATAGACTTGGAAAAGTTGTATACAATTTCCAGAGAGTGTGCCTAAAATATGCTCTCACTTATCTCTGCCTTTCATTCTTCTTGCTTTCTGGAATACAGATTTAATGGCTGGAGCTGCAACAGACACCTTGGACAAAGAGGTGACCTTGAGAATAACACAGGAGGAACCTGGGGCTCCAACACTATGTCACATGCCAGCCCTGGACTAGAATACCTCTGACTTATTACATGGAAAAAAAAATTGCTGATGTTACGCTTGCTGAGGGTTTAGAGGAGGGGTGATTATCGCCCATCCTCACAACTGAATTCAATTCTTTCTAACTAATTTTCATTAATATTAGCACAACACATTCAGGGGGCGAGCACTGTGTGGTGGGCACTACCCTATAGGCACTGCCTGCATTTCCTCCTGAGGGACCATCTGCCCGACAATGCATTGCCTCCCAGACCTCCCACACTCTCTCCTGGTTTCCAGTGCTCCTCCAGTGAGATCATGAGCCCTGTGGGATGCTCTCAGAGAGCTGAGTTCATTACAGCTAACAATGACTGCTGCTGAAGTCCGGTGGCTGCAAGGTCAGAAATACAGGAACACCTTTATAAATGTACAAAGATGAGAACGTTTCCAAAAGCAGGTCCCAAATTTGTATATGGTTCAAGTTCAGCTGTGTGATTCAGCACCAGCAGCCTAAAAAGCTATCCATGTATGTACTCGTCCAGTATGTACACACAGAATGCCTTCTCCAGCCAGGGCACTGTGCTAAGCCCCACAGGCTGGAAGGACAGAGAAGGCCCGGTCCCTGAGAAGCAGGGGCCAACATCTGAATGAGGAATTAACGTGTTCACACAAAGCAGTTCACACAATGCACTTTATTCATTCATTCAGCAAATATTTATTGAACACCTACTATGTGCCAGGAAAAGGGCTAAGCTTATAGGAAACAGGGAGGAAATAGGTGAGGAAGAAAATTAGAAATTTAATCCAGGGCTGCCAATTGAACAAGAAAACAGCTGTCCTCACCCTCTCGGTCCCAAAGAGGCCAAGCATCCCCCAAAACTCCCTCACTTTGAAGTCCAAATTTTCCTAACAATGAAAAGAGTCACAGAGCTTAACAAATGGACTTGACTTGCTTACTTGTTGGTCACAAGAAAGCAGAGGTCACTAGCAATGGGAAAATACCGGCAGTTTCCTTTGTTGTAGGCGAAGGTTGGAATCTAGAATGTAAGGCCCTCCACTTCCTAAGCGTTAGTCAATGAGCTCAGCTTTACAGTGGTATCGTGATGGCCATCAGACACACCTGAGATGGAATCCTGGTTCAGCCACCACCCAGACAACACAGCTGTGTGACCTGGGGGGATTTAATATTTCTGTAAAAGGGAAAGAATATGCCACCATCCACATTTGGTACTAGGAGGAAAAACTGCTCTCTATCTATGGGGAATAAAGGAGAAGGAGCAGAAAGGTAGAGTGGGGGAAAGAGCTTAGAGAGGCCCCCCACCCAGCATGAATCCAGTGAGTCTGCCATCCTCCTGGTCTACGAGGGCCTTGTCTATTCGTCTTTCTCTCTGTCTTTTTTTTTTTTAGTTGTAATAAAACATACATATTATGTAAGTGCTTTCCCCTTTCAGGGCCTCGGTCTCCCCATTTAAAAAGCAAACGGGTTGGCTAGGTGAAATCTGCTGCTGTGCCTCTATTCAGGAGAAGCCGGCTGTAACATTCAACTAGAGGATTTCCTGGACTTCTCTCGAGTGTGACTTAGCAGCCTAGTTTTGTATTTGCAGGGCATTTAACAATCAATCATCTCAGAACAATATCCAAGTAAGCATTTTATCAGGGAAGTTAAAGGAGAGGCGGACAGAGCACACGGAACACCACCAGCACAGACCGGGGCTGGAGCGCAGCCGGCCAGCACGTTCAGAGCCCTGAATTCCAGCCTTGCCTGCCCTGGAGCAGCCAATCACATGGGCCTGGCTGTATCCAGAAGTCTCATTAAGTCTGTTTTATGGCTGTTTTTTTGACAAGTGAGGCCTTTAAAACAGGTTTCCTCATTGTACAGAGAGTGAAGTTCAGTCCAAACATTGTCTGCAGAAGAAACTGGGTGGACCCAAAAGCCAGGGGGACCCTAATAAACTCTACTCACACTCTGGAGCCAAAGAAAGGGATGCTTCTTCAGACACCCTGTAAGTGGCTTTGCTAAGAATAATAATGCAAAACAAAGAATAGAAGCCCCAATCTCCCAACACCTCCTAGCTGTCTATACCTTCTATATCTTTAACCTCACAAATCTAGTACAATATTATTGTCCTGGTTTTCCGAAAGAAAAACTGTATTTCCCTTCAAATCCCTACAGCTAGACAGGACTAAACCAGTATTCAAATTCTAGTTCATCTGATGTCAAAACAGTTCTGTCTATTCCACCAGCTGCCTGCCACAGATGGTGATCGCTTGGAGTGGATTCCTTAACAGCCCAGCTTTTTAGGAAGAGTCTTTGAGAGTCTAAATTACCACATTTCTCCTTGGTCCCCCAGAGGAAGACCAGTCTCATCTTGGAATTGTGTGTGGTTTGGGAAGCTGAGTTGGAGTCAGATTCTCCATCCAGGAGGACAGAGCAGCTGCAGGCCCTACTGGAAGGGAACTCACGTCGTAGCAATCACGCACCCGATTTGAAAGCCTTGCTGGTGAAGTTTCTCAGGGCCAGGTCTGGTGAGATGGGCCTCCTTGGCCATCCCGGAACCCTAGGAGAGTCACAACCACCCACTTGTTAAGAGAAGATCAAGGGGGAAAGTCAGACCCTGAGGGCAGAAGGGAGACCAGGCCAATCAAGGAAAATCTACCTCCCACAGCCTCCTGGAGAGAGATTTCTCAAGCTCTCCTGACTGAGTCAATGTCTGTTTTAGAAGGCAAAAGTCAAGCTTCTTGGCTCAGGACACACAAGCCCCTTTTAGGACTGGCCTGTCCTCGCTGGGACAGGCATCTCCCACCTACTCCTCCCCACCTGCCCACAGCCAGTGCTTGGCCACAGGGAAAGGTGAGCATCGTCTACCCGCTCAGGCTCACCTGTGGCCATACTGTAGCTGTTCTTTCCAGGCCAGTCCCTCCAGGCCAGTCCAACTGTCACCTCCTTGGCAAGGCCTAAGTCCCCTGGTTCCTCTGTCTGCCCAGCGCTGTGTTCTTAGGCAAACCACTTAGCCATTTGGTGGCTCAGTTCCCATTTTTGTAACTTAGAGATGATAATAGTACCTTTCTCCTAGGTTTGATGTGAAGATTCTATGAGATGAAATAAGTTAGCACTTAAGCAGGACCTGGCCAGACTCAGTGATTCATACATTTAACCATCATCATCATTCTATCTGGCCTGGATTCCAAGGATCCAGGAGGGAATTTGCTAGCAGGAGCTCCACCTGAACGGCTCAGTACTCAAGCTTCCATGCAGCAAAAGCCTCCTTGGTTGCCCCAACAGAGGGGTTTCCACCCTGCTTGGAACCCCACTGGTCTGTGTATGTGTTACCTTAAGGCCCCTGGCCCCTGCAGAGCAATAGTCTGTCTACACACTCTTCTCCCATTATACTGAGATAGAGATCGTTTCTGAAACTGAATGCTGACTGCCTCAATAATGAAAGAAAGCCAGGTGTGGTGAACCATGCCTATAATCCCAACACTTTAGGAGGCCAATGCTAGAGGATTGCTCGAGCTCAGGGGTTTAAGATCAGCCTAGGCAACTTAGTGAGAACCCTGTATCTACAAAAAAAAAAAAAAAATTGTAATTAGCCGGGCATGGTGGCACATGCCTGTAGTCCTAGCTCCTCAGAAGGCTGAGGCAGGAAGATCACTTGAGCCCAGGTGGAGGTCGAGGCTGCAGTGAGCAGCTCTCCAAAGGATCCTAGGGATTGGAGGATTGGATATTAGTCAGAACAAACCTTGGAAATTCTTTATTGAATATTTTCTAAACTTCTTATTCCAAGTCAGCACTCAGAAAATGGACTCCAACGTTCAAGACCAGCATGGGCAACATGGTGAAACCCTGACTCTACTAAAAGTACAAAAATTATCTGGGTGTGGTGAAGTGTGTCTGTAGTCCCAGATTCTTGGGGGGCTGAGTCAGGAGGATCGTCACTGCATTCCAGCCTGCGTGACAAAGTGAGACTCCGTCTCAAAAAAAAAAGGACTCTAGCTGGGCGCAGTGGCTCACGCCTGTAATCCCAGCACTTTGGGAGGCCAAGGCGGGCGACCACAAGGTCAGGAGTTCAAGACCAGCCTGACCAACATGGTGAAACCCCGTCTCTACTAAAAATACAAAAATTAGCTGGGCGTGGTGGCACACACCTGTAATCCCAGCTACTCAGGAGGCTGAGGCAGGAGAATTGCTTGAACCCGGGAGGCAGAGGCTGCAGTGAGCTAAGATCGCACTACTGCATTCCAGCCCGAGTAACAGAGAGAGACTCCATCTCAAAAAAAAAAAAAAAAAAAAAAAAAAAAAAGACTCCAACACTGTTTTAGTCTAAGATATGGACTCCCAGGCTATGTGTTATGAGCACTCTCTGAATGTTGAACGCCTTAAGCAATCATCTTAGTCTTCCCAACAATCCTTAAGGTAGTGTTTCTCAAACTTGAGTGCACATCAGAATCACTTAGAAGGCTTGTTGAAACACAGATTGCTGGACTCCACCCTCAGAGCTTCTGATTTAGTAGGTATGGGGTGGTACTCAGGCTTCCAGGTGATGCTGTTACTGCTGGTCTGGGAACCACACACCACACTTTGAGAACTACTGCTAGAAGGAACTATTCTCTCATTTTACAAATGAAAAAACTGAGGCTCAGAAAGATTCAGCAAATTGCCTACAATCATATGATGTAGAAGATAGTATTATGAGCTGACCTAACAGCATTTCTCAAATCTCTCTTGCTGCTTTCCAGAATAGAAGTTGGAAATGTTCATAATTCTTTTCCAACATTCCTTGCAGTTAGGGATGGCTAGGCAACATTACTCCAATGAATATATCCTTCTTCCTGCCTAAGATGCTGACAGTGTGCTTTTCTCCCACAAGAGCCACATACTAGAGACATGGAGCAGAAGAACAAAATAGCCCTGGTCCTCAGTTATTGGCAGTTGACCCAAGGATTCCAACACTACTGAATAACTTATTGTTATGTATGAAAAATAAGCCACTATTGGTTTAAGCCACTGTTAGTCAACCTTTCTGTTATTATAGCTGATGTCATTCCAAATAATACACATAAGTGATCAATATTGGGGCCAGTATTGACACCTGAATCTGTCTAACCTCATACTCATTCTTTACACAACCCATACTGTGACTGGAAATAGAACTCTTGGCCATGAAGTACTCAACAATCCCTAAATCTCTTAACTTCCCTCTAATAGTGTTCCTCAAATGGAAGTGGCTTGAGTGCTTAATCTCAATCCCAAACAAAGGAATTAGATGTGTCTTGAATCTAACCAATGTCCTATGACTGACCCAAGTACAAACATGCCTTTAGGTTCTTACTACTCAAAGTGTGGTTCACCCACCAGCAGAATCACCTGGGAGCTGGTTAGAAACACAGAATCTTCAGCCCCATCTCAGTCCCACCAAATCAGAATCTGTATGTTAACAAGTTCCCCACGGGCTTCGTAGGCTCATTAAAGTTTGAGCAGAGTTCTAATTCAATCAGTGGTTCCCAAGACTGACTGAGTGTTAGAATCGCCTGGAAATCTAAAGATAAAATCAAGAGCCCTGGGTCTCACTCCTGACTTACTGAATCAAAACTCTACTTGAGTGGGAACAAGAAACCACGTCACTAGTTATTTACATTATTTCACTCAGGGACTATCTTGAGAAACTGATTAAAGCTATAGCCCTTCTTTCCGGGAACATATACACGTACATGAATTTTGCTTCTAATTTAAGGGATTCACAGGTCACTGAAGTCCATCCAGAGTCCTCCTAGGACCTCCTAGGACATGCGAACTCCAGAAAAGAAAAGAAGCCCTTTCAACAAGTCTGGGCAGTTACAGAAATGCAGTCAGGATCCTAATGAGAAGAGGCAGCCCAGCCCCTGCCAGCTGGGTAAGCTCCGGTTAGTTCTCACCTGAAGATGGTTTATGTAACCAGCTAGAACCCAAGGTCACAATTCAATTAGCAGCTTCTGCCACAAGTTTAGCTTTGTGCCCCCTGGGATTTCCATCACCCCAGATTACAGAGCTATTCATTTCATTTTCACCAAATTAACCTAATTCGCATGGAGGATGACTTCCTGCTCAACCACTGCCCACAAGGATGCCACAGAGGCAGGTGCCTCATTCAATTAGGAGATTTTGAAAAATACATGCAAAACATGCTTTTCAAAACAAAGTACTCAACAAGCAGGGGCAGAGTATCACCACCTCTCCCAACCAACTGGGCAGACCTAGTCTCCCTCAATCTACATATTTCTACTGCCACACTTATTTCAGCATTATATCATGTAATTGGATATCTGTTCTTTTAAAGGCTACAGGCTTCTGGAGACAAATGAAAGTTTTCATGACCATATTACTCTACCTAGACCTAGTATAGGACCTGCTACAAAGTAGGCACTGAAAAGATGATTGGGTTGGTGGGTGGGTGGGTGGATGGATGGATGTGGATGGATGGATAGGTGGGTGAATGAGTGAATGGCCTGATGGGTGGATGGATGGAAGGAAAGATGGATGGATGGATGGATGGATGGATGGATGGATGGATGGATGGATGGATGGAAGGATGGATGGATGGATGGATGGGCAGATGGAAAGATGAAGGATTATGCTCTTTAAATATAGTATAATAAAAAATATCGGAAGTTCAAGTCTATGAAATTCAGGTGCAAGTTCTACCATGCACTCAAAAGTTGTGAGGTCTCAGTCAAAGCATTTAACCTCCTTGATGAAATTTCTCTCTGTGAAATGGAGGCACTAACAACAATACCTGAATTTCTAAGGTTATTATGACAATTGAATTGGAGAATACATGGGAATGCCATATTTTAAGCAGGCCTCAGACAAGGACTATGGAAAGAGATGCATTCCAGAATCTGGCAGAGCTGAGCTCCAAGTCTGGCTTCATCACTGTCAGCTGTTTGACCTTGGACAAATATCATAAACTCTCTGCACTTGCATCCTCATTTGAGCAATGGAGATGGCAATAACTCCTCCAACAAAGAGGCTCTGAAGGAGGCACTAAAATTACAGAGTGTGTCACTTTGCCCCTTGCCTCCTGTGGTTGGATGGCTTCTGTAAGTTTGCAGAACTTCCAAGAAGAGGTGGTTGAGTAAGAAAAATGGCTGTTTCAATAAATCTGATCAAGCTGGGTAGAAAAGCATGAACCAGCAACCGGATCTCTGATTAGAGGCTGGAGAGAAAAGGGTGTGCTGGGAGAACTCTCATCATGTGGGCCTCACAATCTATCTAACATAAAGCTTTCATAGCCAAGTTTCACAATTTCCCACCACATGAGCAAACTTCATTTGCCTTGATGAGGCAATAACTGTGTGCATTTATTTATATATTTCCCTTTTCCTCCTCTCCCCAGCCTCCTCACTAATCCACTTGGCCTTTTTCTCAGGCCCTGCTTCAATCTTTCTCCTTCATAGCCTCAGAAGCAGTAAAGTTGTGTAGGGTTTGGGGGCTCAAGTCCTCGGTTCAGATACCACCTTCCACCTCCTGACTGCATGACCTCCACTTCCATGGGCCTTCGTTCCCTCTGCGTGGGGGTTATTCACTCCAGCCTGGGGGTGGGGGCTGCTGTCAGGATCAGTGTGCTATCTCACGGATGATATGGCAGGTGCTTGTGGATCATAGTTTCTCTCTTCCTCTGTGTGGGGAGGGAATCCAGCCAGAAGCTCAAAATGGATTTGTTTTGTTTGTTCAGGAATTAGGGAAAGTGAGAAACTCCCAGACCCAAACCAGTCTTGAACTGAAGTCTGGGAGTAGGGAAAGCCCTTTACTGCAAACACCTGTAGAAACATCCTGGTCTTTTACAAGCCTCTGGCGCCTTCCGCCAGGGTTGTGAGACCGATTGAGTTGGAAGGGCCAGCACCTGTGCACTCGGTGGCCCAGTGGCTCTCCATTCCTCTCTGCCTGGCTTTGCCCTGAACCCCCAGGTCAATTCAACCCAAACCATGGGTAAAGCAGAGCTCTAACAGAGAACGATCAGCGGAGATTTGTGACAGGGCTCTTGAAGGACAGTGTGGCAGGCTGGCCGGCCAGGTGCCCATTCACAATGTGTGAGTGCCCCACGCTCCAGGGCATGTCACACCATGCCCAGCCTCACAAGCACTGGGACCCTGAGAGAGTGTCCAGGGTCTTCTTCAGTCCCATCAGTCCTTCTCAGGATGAGGAGAGGAGGAGGAACTGCTGAGTGGCCCTGGACAGCTTGCTTAGAACCTGTGTGGTCTGTGA